>NC_000014.9:16282982-16346517 GCF_000001405.40 Homo sapiens
AGCTTTCTGAGCAAACTTCTTTGTGATGTGTGCATTCATCTCACAGTGTTGAAACTTTATTTTATTTGAGCAGTTTAGAGACAGACTTTTTCTGCAATCTGCAAAGGTATATTTCTGAGCCATTTGAGGTCTGTGGTGAAAAAGGAATATCTTCACATTTAAACTAGACAGAAGAATTCTGAGAAACTTCTTTATGATGTGTGCATTCATCTCAGGTAGGTGAAATTTTCTTTTGATGGAGCAGTTTGGAAACAGTCTTTTTCTAGTATCTGCAGAAGGATATTTGTGAGCGGTGTAAGGACTACGCTGAAAAAGGAAATATCTTCACATAAAAACTAGACAGAAGATTTCTGAGAAACTTTTTTGTGATGGGTGCTTTCATCTCACAGAGTTGAAAATTTCTTTTGATTGAGCAGTTTGGAAACAGTCTTTTCGTATCATCTGCAAAGGGATGTGTGGAGCGCTTTGTGGCCTAACGTGAAAATGGAAATATCTTCACATAAAATCTAGACAGAAGCATTCTGAGAAACTTCTTTGTGATGTGTTCATTCATCTCACAATGTTGAACGTTTCTTTTGATTGAGAGGTTTGTAAACACAACTTTTGTAGAATCTGCAAAGGGATATTTGTGAGCCCCTTGATTCCTATGGCAAAATAGGAATTATCTTGTCATAAAAACTAGACAGGAGAATTCTGAGAAACTTCTCTTTGATGAGTGCATTCATTTCACATAGTTGAAACATGCTATATGGGCCAGTTTGGAAACAGTCTTTTTGTAGGGTCTGCAGACAGATATTTTTGAGTGGCTTAAAGACTGTGGTGAAAAAAGAAATATCTTCACAGAGTAACCAGACAGAAGCTTTCTGAGAAACTTCTTTATGATGTGTGCTTTCGTCTCAGAGAGTTGAGCCTTTCTGTTGATTGACCAGTTTGGAAACATTCTTTCTGTAGAATCCGCAAATGGATATTTGGAGCAATTTGCGGCCTACGGTGAAGAAGGAAATATCTTCACATAAAAACTAGACAGAAGCATTTTGAGAAACTTCTTTTTGATGTGTGTATTCATCTCACAGAGTTGAACGTTTCTTTTGATTTAGCGATTTGGAGAAAGTCTCTTGGTAGTATAAGCGGAGTTATGTTTGTGAGTGGTTTAAGGCCTACGGTGCCAAAGGAAATACCTTCACATAAAATGTAGACAGAAGCATTTTGAGAGAACTCCTTGTGACATTTCCATTCATCTCTAATAGTTGACCATTTCTTCTCATTGAGCAGTTTGGAAACAGTCTTTTCCTACAAACTGCAAAGGGATATTTCTGAGCCGTTTGGGGCCAATGGTGAAAAATAAATATCTTCACATGAAAACTAGGCAGAAGCTTTCTGAGAAACTCCTTTGTGGTGTGCACGTTTGTATCACAGAGTTGAACCTTTCATTTGATTGAGCAGTTTGGAAACAGTCTTTTTGTAGAATCTGCAAATGTATATTTGGAGTGTTTTAAGGCCTATAGTGAAAAAGGAAATATCTTCACATAAAAACTACACAGTAGCTTTCTGAGAAACTTCTTTGTGATGTGTCCCTTCATCGCACAGAGTGAAACCTGTCTTTTGATTTAGGAGTTTGAAAAATGTCTTTTCTTAGAATCTGCAAAGGGATATTTGTGAGCCCTTTATGGCCTTTGTTGAAATATGAAATATCTTCACGTAAAAAGTAGAGAGAAAGATTTCTGAAAAACCTCTTTGTGATGTGTGAATTCATGTCACAGAATTCAACCTTCCTTTCAGTTGAGCAGTTTGGAACCAGTCTTTTGTAGAAGCTGCAGAGGGAAATTTCTTAGCTGCTTGAGGCCTATGGTGAACAAGAAATAGCCTCACATAAAAACTAGACAGAAGATTTCTGAGAAACTTCTTTGTGATGTGTGCCTTCAACTCACTGTGTTGAAACTTTCTTTTGATTGAGCAGTTTGGGAAGTCTTTCTGTAGAATCTGCAAATGGATATTTGGAGATATTTGAGGCCCTTGGTGAAAAAGGAAGTATCTTCACATAAAAACTAGACAGAATCATTCCAAGAAATTTCCTGCGATGTGTCCATTCACGTCACAGAGTTGAACCTTTCTTTTGATTGAGCAGTTTGGAAACAGTCTTTTTGTAGAACCTGCAAAGGGATATTTGTGAGCCCCTTATGGCCTGTGGTGAAATACGAAATATCTTCACATAAAAACTAGACAGGAGCTTTCTGAGAAACTCCCTTGCGATGTGTGTATTCACCTCACCGAGTGGAAACTTTCTTTTGATTGAGCAGATTGGAAAGAGACTTATCGTACAATCTGCAAAGGGAGAATTCTGATCCGTTTGAGGCTAATGGTGAAAGAGAAACATCTTCCCATAAAAACTAGACGGAAGCTTTCTAAGAAACTTCGGTGTGATGTGTGTTTTCATCTCACGGAATTGAAACTTTCTTTTGATTGAGGAGTTTGGAAACACTCTTTTTCTAGAATCTGCAAATGGATATTTGGAGAGCTCCTGAGGCCCATGTTGAAAAACGAAACATCTTCACGTAAAAACTAAACAGAAGCATTCTGAGGAACTTCTTTGTGATGTGTGCATTCATCTCACATAGTTGAAACTTTCTTTGGATTGAGCAGTTTTGAAACAGTCTTTTTGTAGAATCTGCCAAGGGATATTTCTGAGCCCATTGAGTACTATGATGCACTGTGAAGTATCTTCACATAAAAACTAGACAGAAGTTTTCTGAGAAACTACTTTTCGATGTGTCCATTAATCAAACAGAGTTAAAACTTTCTTTTTATTGAGCAGTTTGGATACAGTCTTTCTTTAGAATCTGCAAAAAATATTTGCGAGCCCTTTATTGCCTATGGTGAAATAGGAATCTTCTTCACATATAAACTGGACAGAAGCTTTCTGAGAAACTCCTTTGAGATGTGTGTTTTCACCTCACTGAGTTAAACACTTTCTTTTGATTGAGCTGTTTGGAAACACTCTTTTTGTGAAATCTGTAAATGGATATTAGGAGTGCTTTGAGGCCAATGGTGACAAAGGAAATATCTTCACATAAAAACTAAACAGAAGAATTCTGAGAAACTTCATTCTGACGTGGGCATTAACCTCAGAGAATTTAACCTTTCTTTTGATTGAGAAGTATGGAAACGGTCGTCTTTTAAAATCTGGAATGGGATATTTCTTAGCCCTTTGAGGCCTACGGTGAAACTGGAAATATCTTCACATGAAAAGTAGACCGAAGCATTCCGAGGAACTTCTTTGTGATGTCTCTATTCATCTGACAGATTTGAAGGTTTCTTTTAATTCAGCACTTTGGAAAGCATATTTTTGTAGAATCTGCAAAGGGATATTTTTGAGACCTTTGAAGCCTATAGTGAAATAGTAAATATCTTCACATAGAAACTAGACAGGAGCTTTCTGAGAAACTTCTTTGTGATGTGTGCATTCATCTCACAGTGTTGAAACTTTATTTTATTTGAGCAGTTTAGAGACAGTCTCTTTCTACAATCTGCAAAGGTATATTTCTGAGCCATTTGAGGTCTGTGGTGAAAAAGGATTATCTTCACATTTAAACTAGACAGAAGAATTCTGAGAAACTTTTTTAAGATGTGTGCATTCAGCTCAGGTAGGTGAAATTTTCTTTTGAGGGAGCAGTTTGGAAACAGTCTTTTTCTAGTATCTGCAGAAGGATATTTGTGAGCGGTGTAAGGACTATGGTGAAAAAGGAAATATCTTCACATAAAAACTAGACAGAAGATATCTGAGAAACTTTTTTGTGATGGGTGCTTTCATCTCACAGAGTTGAAAATTTCTTTTGATTGAGCAGTTTGGAAACAGTCTTTTCGTATCATCTGCAAAGGGATGTTTGGAGCGCTTTGTGGCCTAAGGTGAAAATGGAAATATCCTCACATAAAATTCTAGACAGAAGCATTCTGAGAAACTTCTTTGTGATGTGTTCATTCACCTCACAATGTTGAACGTTTCTTTTGATTGAGAGGTTTGTAAACAGAACTTTTGTAGAATCTGCAAAGGGATATTTGTGAGCCCCTTGATTCCTATGGCAAAATAGGAATTCTCTTTAGATAAAAACTAGACAGAAGAATTCTGAGAAACTTCTCTTTGATGAGTGCATTCATTTCACATTGTTGAAACATGCTATATGGGCCATTTTGGAAACAGTCTTTTTGTAGTGTCTGCAGACAGATATTTTTGAGTGGCTTAAAGACTGTGGTGAAAAAAGAAATATCTTCACAGAGTAACCAGACAGAAGCTTTCTGAGAAACTTCTTTGTGATGTGTGCTTTCGTCTCACAGAGTTGAGCCTTTCTGTTGATTGACCAGTTTGGAAACATTCTTTCTGTAGAATCCGCAAATGGATATTTGGAACAATTTGCGGCCTACGGTGAAGAAGGAAATATCTTCACATAAAAACTAGACAGAAGCATTTTGAGAAACTTCTTTGTGATGTGTGCATTCTTCTCAAAGAGTTGAAACTTTCTTTTGATTTAGCAATTTGGAGAAAGTCTCTTGGTAGTATAAGTGGAGTTATATTTGTGAGCGGTTTAAGGCCTATGGTGCAAAAGGAAATACTTTCACATGAAATGTAGACAGAAGCTTTATGTGAAAACTCTTTGTGACATTTCCATTCATCTCTAATAGTTGACCATTTCTTTTCATTGAGCAGTTTGGAAACAGTCTTTTCCTACAAACTGCAAAGGGATATTTCTGAGCCGTTTGGGGCCAATGGTGAAAAATAAATATCTTCCCATGAAAACTAGACAGAAGCTTTCTGACAAATTTCTTGGTGATGTGCACGTTTGTCACACGGAATTGAACCCTTCTTCTGATTGAGCAGTTTGGAATCAGTCTTTTTGTAGAATCTGTGAATGTGTATTTAGAGAGTTTTAAGGCCTAGGGTGCAAAAGGCAATGTCTTCACATAAAAACGACACAGTAGCTTTCTGAGAAACTTCTTTGTGATGTGTCCATTCATCGCACAGAGTGAAACCTTTCTTATGATTGAGGAGTTTGGAAAATGTCTTTCCTTAGAATCTGCAAAGGGATATTTGTGAGCCCTTTATGGCCTTTGTTGAAATATGAAATATCTTCACATAAAAAGTAGACAGAAGATTTCTGAAAAACCTCTCTGTGATGTGTGAATTCATGTCACAGAATTCAACCTTCCTTTCAGTTGAGCAGTTTGGAACCAGTCTTTTGTAGAAGCTGCAGAGGGAAATTTCTTAGCTGCTCGAGGCCTATGGTGAACAAGAAATAGCCTCACATAAAAAGTAGACAGAAGTATTTTGAGAAACTTCTTTGTGATGTGTGCTTTCATTTCACAGAGTTGAATCTTTCTTTTGATTGAGCAGCTTGGAAACAGTCTTTTTGTACAAGCTGCAAAGGGATATTTCTGAGCCATTTGAGGCTTATGGTGAAAACGAAATATCTGCACATAAAAACCTGACAGAATCATTCCAAGAAATTGTTTGTGATGTGTCCATTCACGTCACAGAGTTGAACCTTTCTTTTGATTGAGCAGTTTGGCAACAGACTTTTTGTGGAACCTGCAAAGGGATATTTGTGAGCCCCTTATGGCCTGTGGTGAAATACGAAATATCTTCACATAAAAACTAGACAGGAGCTTTCTGAGAAACTCCCTTGTGATGTGTGCATTCACCTCACAGAGTTGAAACTTTCTTTTGATTGAGCAGATTGGAAAGAGGCTTATTGTACAATCTGCAAAGGGAGAATTCTGATCCTTTTGAGGCTTCTGGTGAAAGAGAAACATCTTCCCATAAAAACTAGACGGAAGCTTTCTAAGAAACTTCGGTGTGATGTGTGCTTTCATCTCACAGAATTGAAACTTTCTTTTGATTGAGGAGTTTGGAAACACTCTTTTTCTAGAATCTGCAAATGGATATTTGGAGAGCTTTTGAGGCCCATGTTGAAAAACGAAACATCTTCACGTAAAAACGAAACAGAAGCAGTCTGAGAAACTTCTTTGTGATGTATGCATTCATCTCACATAGTTGAAACTGTCTTTGGATTGAGCAGTTTGGAAACAGTCCTCTTGTAGAATCTGCAAAGGGATATTTCTGAGCCCATTGAGTACTATGGTGCAATGTGAAATATCTTCACATAAAAACTAGACAGAAGTTTTCTGAGAAACTACTTTTCGATGTGTCCATTAATCAAACAGAGTTAAAACTTTCTTTTTATTGAGCAGTTTGGATACAGTCTTTCTGTAGAATCTGCAAAAAATATTTGCGAGCCCTTTATTGCCTATGGTGAAATAGGAATCTTCTTCACATATAAACTGGACAGAAGCTTTCTGAGAAACTTCATTGAGATGTGTGCTTTCACCTCACAGAGTTAAACACTTTCTTTTGATTGAGCTGTTTGGAAACACTCTTTTCGTGAAATCTGTAAATGGATATTAGGAGTGCTTTGAGGCCAATGGTGGCAAAGGAAATATCTTCTCATAAAAACTAAAGAGAAGAATTCTGAGAAACTTCATTCTGATGTGTGCATTCACCTCACAGAATTTAAGCTTTCTTTTGATTGAGCAGTATGGAAATGGTTGTCTTTTAGAATCTGGAAAGGGATATTTCTTAGCCCTTTGAGGCCTACGGTGAAACTGGAAATATCTTTACATGAAAACTAGACCAAAGCATTCTGAGGAACTTCTTTGTGATGTCTTCATTCATCTGACAGAGTTGAAGGTTTCTTTTAATTCACACTTTTGAAACCATATTTTTGTAGAATCTGCAAAGGGATATTTTTGAGACATTTGAAGCTTATAGTGACATAGTAAATATTGTCACATAAAAACTAGACAGGAGCTCTCTGAGAAACTTCTTTGTGATGTGTGCATTCATCTCACAGTGTTGAAACTTTATTTTATTTGAGCAGTTTAGAGACAGTCTTTTTCTGCAATCTGCAAAGGCATATTTCTGAGCCATTTGAGGTCTGTGGTGAAAGAGAAATATCTTCACATTTAAACTAGACAGAAGAATTCTGAGAAACTTCTTTGTGATGAGTCTATTCATCTCACAGAGTTGAAACATTCTTTGATGGACCAGTTTGGAAACAGTCTTTTTATAGTATCTGCAGAGGGATATTTTTGAGCGGTTTAAAGACTATGGTGAAAAAGGAAATATCTTCACATAATAACTAGACAGAAGATTTCTGAGAAACTTTTCTGTGATGTGTGCTTTCATCTCACAGAGTTGAAAATTTCTTTTGATTGAGCAGTTTGGAAACAGTCTTTTCGTATCATCTGCAAAGGGATGTTTGGAGCGCTTTGTGGCCTGAGGTGAAAATGCAAATATCTTCACATAAAATCTAGACAGAAGCATTCTGAGAAACTTCTTTGTGATGTGTTCATTCATCTCACAATGTTGAACGTTTCTTTTGATTGAGAGGTTTGTAAACAGAACTTTTGTAGAATCTGCAAAGGGATATTTGTGAGCCCCTTGATTCCTATGGCAAAATAGTAATTATCTTGAGATAAAAACTAGACAGGAGAATTCTTAGAAACTTCTCTTTGATGAGTGCATTCATTTCACATAGTTGAAACATGCTATATGGGCCAGTTTGGAAACAGTCTTTTTGTAGTGTCTGCAGACAGATATTTTTGAGTGGCTTAAAGACTGTGGTGAAAAAAGAAATATCTTAACAGAATAACCAGACAGAAGCTTTCTGAGAAACTTCTTTGTGATGTGTGCTTTCGTCTCACAGAGTTGAGCCTTTCTGTTGATTGACCAGTTTGGAAACATTATTTCTGTAGAATCCGCAAATGGATATTTGGAGCAATTTGCGGCCTATGGTGAAGAAGGAAATATCTTCACATAAAAACTAGACAGAAGCATTTTGAGAAACTTCTTTTTGATGTGTGTATTCATCTCACAGAGTTGAACGTTTCTTTTGATTTTGCAATTTGGAGAAAGTCTCTTGGTAGTATAAGCAGAGTTATGTTTGTGAGTGGTTTAAGGCCTACGGTGCCAAAGGAAATACCTTCACATAAAATGTAGACAGAAGCTTTTTGAGAAAACTCTTTGTGACATTTCCATTCATCTCTAATAGTTGACCATTTCTTTTCATTGAGCAGTTTGGAAACAGTCTTTTCCTACAAACTGCAAAGGGATATTTCTGAGCCGTTTGGGGTCAATGGTGAAAAATAAATATCTTCACATGAAAACTAGACAGAAGCTTTCTGACAAATTTCTTTGTGATGTGCACGTTTGTCACACGGAATTGAACCTTTCTTCTGATTGAGCAGTTTGGAATCCGTCTTTTTGTAGAATCTGTGAATGTATATTTAGAGAGTTTTAAGGCCTAGAGTGAAAAAGGAAACGTCTTCACATAAAAACGACACAGTAGCTTTCTAAGAAACTTCTTTGTGATGTGTCCATTCATCTCACAGAGTTAAACCTTTCTTTTGATTGAGGAGTTTGGAAAATGTCTTCTCTTAGAATCTGCAAAGGGATATTTGTGAGCCCTTTATGGCCTATGTTGAAATATGAAATATCTTCACATAAAAACTAGACAGAAGATTTCTGAAAAACTTCTTTGTGATGTGTGAATTCATGTCACAGAATTCAACCTTTCTTTCGATTGAGCAGTTTGGAAACAGTCTTTTGTAGAAGCTGCAAAGGGAAATTTCTTAGCCGTTTGAGGCCTATAGTGAAAAAGAAATATCTTCACATAAAAACTAGACAGAAGATTTCTGAGAAACTTCTTTGTGATGTGTGCCTTCATCTCACTGTGTTGAACCTTTCTTTTGATTGAGCAGTTTGGGAAGTCTTTCTGTAGAATCTGCAAATGGATATTTGGAGATATTTGAGGCCCTTGGTGATAAAGGAAGTATCTTCACATAAAAACTAGACAGAATCATTCCGAGAAATTTTTTGTGATGTGTCCATTCACGTCACAGAGTTGAACCTTTCCTTTGATTGAGCAGTTTAGAAACAGTCTTTGTGTAGAACCTGCAAACAGATATTTGTGAGCCCCTTATGGCCTGTGGTGAAATATGAAATATCTTCACATAAAAACTAGACAGGAGCTTTCTGAGAAACTCCCTTGTGATGTGTGCATTCACCTCACAGAGTTGAAACTTTCTTTTGATTGAGCAGATTGGAAAGAGGCTTATTGTACAATCTGCAAAGGGAGAATTCTGATCCGTTTGAGGCTAATGGTGAAAGAGAAACATACTTCCCATAAAAACTAGACGGAACGCTTTCTAAGAAACTTCGTTGTGATGTGTGCTTTCGTCTCACAGAATTGAAACTATCCTTTGATTGAGGAGTTTGGAAACACTCTTTTTCTAGAATATGCAAATGGATATTTGGAGAGCTTTTGAGGCCCGTGGTGAAAAACGAAATATCTTCACGTAAAAACTAAACAGAAGCATTCTGAGGAACTTCTTTGTGATGTGTGCATTCATCTCACATAGTTGAAACTTTCTTTGGATTGAGCAGTTTTGAAACAGTCCTTTTGTAGAATCTGCCAAGGGATATTTCTGAGCCCATTGAGCACTATGATGCACTGTGAAGTATCTTCACATAAAAACTAGACAGAAGTTTCCTGAGAAACTACTCTTTGATGTGTCCATTAATCTAACAGAGTTGAAACTTTCTTTTTATTGAGCAGTTTGGATACGGTCTTTTTGTAGAATCTGCAAAAAATATTTGTGAGCCCTTTATTGCCTATGGTGAAGTAGGAATTTTCTTCACATATAAACTAGACAGAAGCTTTCTGAGAAACTTCTTTGAGATGTGTGCTTTCACCTCACAGAGTTAAACACTTTCTTTTGATTGAGCTGTTTGGAAACACTCTTTTTGTGAAATCTGTAAATGGATATTAGGAGGGCTTTGAGGCCAATTGTGACAAAGGAAATATCTTCACGTAAAAACTAAACAGAAGAATTCTGAAAACTTTCATTCTGACGTGGGCATTAACCTCAGAGAATTTAACTTTCTTTTGATTGAGAAATATGGAAACGGTCGTCTTTTAGAATCTGGAAAGGGATATTTCTTAGCCCTTTGAGGCATATGGTGAAACTGGAAATATCTTCACATGAAAAGTAGACCGAAGCATTCTGAGGAACTTCTTTGTGAGGTCTCCATTCATCTGACAGAGTTGAAAGTTTCTTTTAATTCAGCACTTTGGAAACCATATTTTTGTAGAATCTGCAAAGGGATATTTTTGAGACATTTGAAGCCTATAGTGAAATAGTAAATATCTTCACATAAAAACTAGACAGGAGCTTTCTGAGAAACTTCTTTGTGATGTGGTGCATTCATCTCACAGTGTTGAAACTTTATTTTGTTTGAGCAGTTCAGAAACAGTCTTTTTCTGCAATCTGCAAAGGTATATTTCTGAGACATTTGAGGTCTATGGTGAAAAAGAGATATCTTCACATTTTAACTAGACAGAAGAATTCTGAGAAACTTCTTTATGATGTGTGCATTCATCTCAGGTAGGCGAAATTTTCTTTTGATGGAGCAGTTTGGAAACAGTCTTTTTCTAGTATCTGCAGAAGGATATTTGTGAGCGGTGTAAGGACTATGGTGAAAAAGGAAATATCTTCACATAAAAACTAGACAGAAGATTTCTGAGAAACTTTTTTGTGATGGTTGCTTTCATCTCACAGAGTTGAAAATTTCTTTTGATTGAGCAGTTTGGAAACAGTCTTTTCGTATCATCTGCAAAGGGATGTGTGGAGCGCTCTGTGGCCTAAGGTGAAAATGGAAATATCTTCACATAAAATCTAGACAGAAGCATTCTGAGAAACTTCTTTGTGATGTGTTCATTCATCTCACAATGTTGAAGGTTTCTTTTGATTGAGAGGTTTGTAAACAGAACTTTTGTAGAATCCGCAAAGGGATATTTGTGAGCCCCTTGATTCCTATGGCAAAATAGGAATAATCTTGAGATAAAAACTAGACAGAAGCTTTCTGAGAAACTTCTTTGTGATGTGTGCATTCATCACACAGTGTTGAAACTTTATTTTGTTTGAGCAGTTTAGAAACAGTCTTTTACTGCAATCTGCAAAGGTATATTTCTGAGCCATTTGAGGTCTATGGTGAAAAAGAAATATCTTCACATTGAAACTAGACAGAAGCTTTCTGAGAAACTTTGTAATGTGTGTTTTTGTCTCACAGATTTGAGCCTTTCTTTTGATTGACCAGTTTGGAAACATTCTTTTTGTAGAATCTGCAAATGGATATTTGGAACAATTTGAGACCTATGGTGAAAAAGGAAATATCTTCACATAAAAACTAGACAGAAGCATTTTGAGAAACTTCTTTGTGATGTGTGCATTCTTCTCACAGAGTTGAACCTTTCTTTGGATTTAGCAATTTGGAGAAAGTCTCTTGGTAGTACAAGTGGAGTTATATTTGTGAGCGATTTAAGGCCTATGGTGCAAAAGGAAACACCTTCACATAAAAAGTAGACAGAAGCTTTTTGAGGAAACTCTTTGTGACATTTCCATTCATCTCTAATAGTTGACCATTTCTTTTCATTGAGCAGTTTGGAAACAGTCTTTTCCTACAAACTGCAAAGGGATATTTCTGAGTCGTTTGGGGCCAATGGTGAAAAATAAATATCTTCACATGAAAACTAGACAGAAGCTTTCTGACAAATTTCTTTGTGATGTGCACCGTTTGTCACACGGAGTTGAACCTTTCTTCTGATTGAGCAGTTTGGAATCAGTCTTTTTGTAGAATCTGTGAATGTATATTTAGAGAGTTTTAAGGCCTAGAGTGAAAAAGGAAACGTCTTCACATAAAAACGACACAGTAGCTTTCTAAGAAACTTCCTTGTGATGTGTCCATTCATCTCACAGAGATAAACCTTTCTTTTGATCAAGGAGTTTGGGAAATGTCTTTTCTTAGAATCTGCAAAGGGATATTTGTGAGCCCTTTATGGCCTATGTTGAAATATGAAATATCTTCACATAAAAACTAGACAGAAGATTTCTGAAAAACCTCTTTGTGATGTGTGAATTCATGTCACAGAATTCAACCTTCCTTTCAGTTGAGCAGTTTGGCACCAGTCTTTTGTAGAACCTGCAGAGGGAAATTTCTTAGCTGCTTGAGGCCTATGGTGAACAAGAAATAGCCTCACATAAAAAGTAGACAGAAGATTTCTGAGAAACTTCTTTGTGATGTTTGCTTTCGTCTCACAGTGTTGAACCTTTCTTTTGATTGAGCAGTTTGGAAAGTCTTTTTGTAGAATCTGCAAATGGATATTTGGAGCTATTTGAGGCCCATGGTGAAAAAGGAAGTATCTTCACATAAAAACTAGACAGAATCATTCCGAGAAATTTTTTGTGATGTGTCCATTCACGTCACAGAGTTGAACCTTTCTTTTGATTGAGCAGTTTGGAAACAGTCTTTTTGTAGAACCTGCAAAGGGATATTTGTGAGCCCCTTATGGCCTGTGGTGAAATACGAAATATATTCACATAAAAACTAGACAGGAGCTTTCTGAGAAACTCCCTTGTGATGTGTGCATTCACCTGACAGAGTTGAAACTTTCTTTTGAATGAGCAGATTGGAAAGAGGCTTATTGTACAATCTGCAAAGGGAGAATTCTGATCCGTTTGAGGCTTCTGGTGAAAGAGAAACATCTTCCCACAAAATCTAGACGGAAGCTTTCTAAGAAACTTCGTTGTGATGTGTGCTTTCATCTCACAGAATTGAAACTTTCTTTTGATTGAGGAGTTTGGAAACCCTCTTTTTCTAGAATCTGCAAATGGATAATTGGAGAGCTTTTGAGGCCCATGTTGAAAAACGAAACATCTTCACGTAAAAACTAAACAGAAGCATTCTGAGAAACTTCTTTGTGATGTGTGCATTAATCTCACAGAGTTGAAACTTTCTTTGGATTGAGCAGTTTGGAAACAGTCTTTTTGTAGAATCTGCAAAGGGATATTTCTGAGTCCATTGAGTACTATGGAGAAATGTGAAATATCTTCACATAAAAACTAGACAGAAGTTTTCTGAGAAACTACTCTTTTATGTGTCCATTAATCTAACAGAGTTGAAACTTTCTTTTTATTGAGCAGTTTGGATACGGTCTTTTTGTAGAATCTGCAAAAAATATTTGTGAGCCCTTTATTGCCTATGGTGAAGTAGGAATTTTCTTCACATATAAACTAGACAGAAGCTTTCTGAGAAACTTCTTGGAGATGTGTGCTTTCACCTCACAGAGTTAAACACTTTCTTTTGATTGAGCTGTTTGGAAACACTCTTTTTGTGAAATCTGTAAATGGATATTAGGAGTGCTTCGAGGCCAATGGTGACAAAGGAAATATCTTCACATAAAAACTAAACAGAAGAATTCTGAGAAACTTCATTCTGACGTGGGCATTAAACTCAGAGAATTTAACCTTTCTTTTGATTGAGAAGTATGGAAACGGTCGTCTTTTAGAATCTGGAAAGGGATATTTCTTAGCCCTTTGAGGCCTACGGTGAAACTGGAAATATCTTCACATGAAAAGTAGACCGAAGAATACTGAGTAACTTCTTTGTGATGTCTCCATTCATCTGACAGAGTTGAAGGTTTCTTTTAATTCAGCACTGTGGAAACCGTATTTTTGTAGAATCTGCAAAGGGATATTTTTGAGACCTTTGAAGCCTATAGTGAAATAGTAAATATCTTCACATAGAAACTAGACAGGAGATTTCTGAGAAACTTCTTTGTGATGTGTGCATTCATCTCACAGTGTTGAAACTTTATTTTGTTTGAGCAGTTTAGAAACAGTCTTTTCCTGCATTCTGCAAAGGTGTATTTCTGAGCCATTTGAGGTCTATGTGAAAAAGAAATATCTTCACATTTAAACTAGACAGAAGAATTCTGAGAAACTTCTTTGTGATGTGTGCATTCATCTCAGAGAGGTGAACTTTTCTTTTGATGGAGCAGTTTGGAAACAGTATTTTTTTAGTATCTGCAGAAGGATATTTGTGAGCAGTTTAAGGCCTATGGTGAAAAAGGAAATATCTTCACATAAAAACTAGACAGGAGATTTCTGAGAAACTTTTTTGTGATGAGTGCTTTCATCTCACAGAGTTGAAAATTTCTTTTGATTGAGCAGTTTGGAAACAGTCTTTTCGTATCATCTGCAAAGGGATGTTTGGAGCGCTTTGTGGCCTAAGGTGAAAATGGAAATATCTTCACATAAAATCTAGACAGAAGCATTCCGAGAAACTTCTTTGTGATGTGTGCATTCATCTCACAATGTTGAACGTTTCTTTTGATTGAGCAGTTTGGAAACAGAACTTTTGTAGAATCTGCAAAGGGATATTTGTGAGCCCATTGATTCCTATGGCAAAATAGGAATTATCTTGAGATAAAAACTAGACAGAAGAATTCGGAGAAACTTCTCTTTGATGAGTGCATTCATTTCACATAGTTGAAACATGCTATATGGGCCAGTTTGAAAACAGACTTTTTGTAGTGTCTGCAGACAGATATTTTTGAGTGGCTTAAAGACTGTGGTGAAAAAAGAAATATCTTCACAGAGTAACCAGACAGAGGCTTTCCGAGAAACTTCTTTGTGATGTGTGCTTTCGTCTCACAGAGTTGCGCCTTTCTTTTGATTGACCAGTTTGGGAACATTCTTTTTGTAGAATCTGCAAATGGATATTTGGAGCAATTTGTGGCCTACGGTGAAAAAGGAAATATCTTCACAGAAAAACTAGACAGGAGCATTTTGAGAAACTTCTTTTTGATGTGTGTATTCTTCTCACAGAGTTGAACGTTTCTTTTGATTTAGCAATTTGGAGAAAGTCTCTTGGTAGTATAAGCGGAGTTATGTTTGTGAGTGGTTTAAGGCCTACGGTGCCAAAGGAAATACCTTCACATAAAATGTAGACAGAAGCTTTTTGAGAAAACTCTTTGTGACATTTCCATTCATCTCTAATAGTTGACCATTTCTTTTCATTGAGCAGTTTGGAAACAGTCTTTTCCTACAAACTGCAAAGGGATATTTCTGAGCCGTTTGGGGCCAATGGTGAAAAATAACCATCTTCACATGAAAACTAGACATAAGGTTTCTGACAAATTTCTTTGTGATGTGCACGTTTGTCACACGGAATTGAACCTTTCTTCTGATTGAGCAGTTTGGAATCAGTCTTTTTGTAGAATCTGTGAATGCATATTTAGAGAGTTTTAAGGCCTAGAGTGAAAATGGAAACGTCTTCACATAAAAACGACACAGTAGCTTTCTGAGAAACTTCTTTGTGATGTGTCCATTCATCGCACAGAGTGGAACCTTTCTTTTGATTGAGGAGTTTGGAAAATGTCTTTTCTTAGAATCTGCAAAGGGATATTTGTGAGCCCTTTATGGCCTTTGTTGAAATATGAAATATCTTCACATAAAAAGTAGACAGAAGATTTCTGAAAAACCTCTTTGTGATGTGTGAATTCATGTCACAGAATTCAACCTTCCTTTCAGTTGAGCAGTTTGGAACCAGTCTTTTGTAGAAGCTGCAGAGGAAATTTCTTAGCTGCTTGAGGCCTATGGTGAACAAGAAATAGCCTCACATAAAAACTAGACAGAAGATTTCTGAGAAACTTCTTTGTGATGTGTGCCTTCATCTCACTGTGTTGAACCTTTCTTTTGATTGAGCAGTTTGGGAAGTCTTTCTGTAGAATCTGCAAATGGATATTTGGAGATATTTGAGGCCCTTGGTGAAAAAGGAAGTATCTTCCCACAAAAACTAGACAGAATCATTCCAAGAAATTTTCTGTGATGTGTCCATTCACGTCACAGAGTTGAACCTTTCTTTTGATTGAGCAGTTTGGAAACAGTCTTTTTGTAGAACCTGCAAAGGGATATTTGTGAGCCCCTTATGGCCTGTGGTGAAATACGAAATATCTTCACATAAAAACTAGACAGGAGCTTTCTGAGAAACTCCCTTGTGATGTGTGCATTCACCTCAGAGAGTTGAAACTTTCTTTTGATTGAGCAGATTGGAAAGAGGCTTATTGTACAAACTGCAAAGGGAGAATTCTGATCCGTTTGAGGCTTATGGTGAAAGAGAAACATCTTCCCATAAAAACTAGACGGAAGCTTTCTAAGAAACTTCTTTGTGATGTGTGCTTTCATCTCACAGAATTGAAACTTTCTTTTGATTGAGGAGTTTGGAAACACTCTTTTTCTAGAATCTGCAAATGGATATTTGGAGAGCTTTTGAGGCCCATGGTGAAAAACGAAATATCTTCACATAAAAACTAAACAGAAGCATTCTGAGGAACTTCTTTGTGATGTGTGCATTCATCTCACATAGTTGAAACTTTCTTTGAATTGAGCAGTTTTGAAACACTCCTTTTGTAGAATCTGCCAAGGGATATTTCTGAGCCCATTGAGTACTATGATGCACTGTGAAGTATCTTCACATAAAAACTAGACAGAAGTTTTCTGAAAAACTACTTTTCGATGTGTCCATTAATCAAACAGAGTTAAAACTTTCTTTTTATTGAGCAGTTTGGATACAGTCTTTTTGTAGAATCTGCAAAAAATATTTGCGAGCCCTTTATTGCCTATGGTGAAATAGGAATCTTCTTCACATATAAACTAGACAGAAGCTTACTGAGAAACTTCTTTGAGATGTGTGCTTTCACCTCACAGAGTTAAACACTTTCTTTTGATTGAGCTGTTTGGAAACACTCTTTTTGTGAAATCTGTAAATGGATATTAGGAGTGCTTTGAGGCCAATTGTGACAAAGGAAATATCTTCACATAAAAACTAAACAGAAGAATTCTGAGAAACTTCATTCTGATGTGTGCATTAACCTCACAGAATGTAACCTTTCTTTTGATTGAGAAGTATGGAAACGGTCGTCTTTTAGAATCTGGAAAGGGATATTTCTTAGCCCTTTGAGGCCTACGGTGAAACTGGAAATATCTTCACATGAAAAGTAGACCGAAGCATTCTGAGGAACCTCTTTGTGATGTCTCCATTCATTTGACAGAGTTGAATGCTTCTTTTAATTCAGAAGTTCGGCAACCATATTTTTGTAGAATCTGCAAAGGGATATTTGTGAGACATTTGAAGCCTATAGTGAAATAGTAAATATCTTCACATAAAAACTAGACAGAAGCTTTCTGAGCAACTTCTTTGTGATGTGTGCATTCATCTCACAGTGTTGAAACTTTATTTTATTTGAGCAGTTTAGAGACAGTCTATTTCTGCAATCTGCAAAGGCATATTTCTGAGCCATTTGAGGTCTGTGGTGAAAGAGAAATATCTTCACATTTAAACTAGACAGAAGAAGTCTGAGAAAATTCTTTGTGATGTGTGCATTCACCTCAGAGAGGTGAACTTTTCTTTTGATGGAGCAGTTTGGAAACAGTCTTTTTATAGTATCTGCAGAAGGATATTTGTGAGCAGTTTAAGGCCTGTGGTGAAAAAGGAAATATCTTCACATAAAAACTAGACAGAAGATTTCTGAGAAACTTTTTTGTGATGGGTGCTTTCATCTCACAGAGTTGAAAATTTCTTTTGATTGAGCAGTTTGGAAACAGTCTTTTCGTATCATCTGCAAAGGGATGTGTGGAGCGCTTTGTGGCCTAAGGTGAAAATGGAAATATCTTCACATAAAATCTAGACAGAAGCATTCTGAGAAACTTCTTTGTGATGTGTTCATTCATCTCACAATGTTGAACGTTTCTTTTGATTGAGAGGTTTGTAAACAGAACTTTTGTAGAATCTGCAAAGGGATATTTGTGAGCCCCTTGATTCCTATGGCAAAATAGGAATTCTCTTGAGATAAAAACTAGACAGAAGAATTCGGAGAAACTTCTCTTTGATGAGTGCATTCATTTCACATAGTTGAAACATGCTATATGGGCCAGTTTGGAAACAGTCTTTTTGTAGTGTCTGCAGACAGATATTTTTGAGTGGCTTAAAGACTGTGGTGAAAAAAGAAATATCTTCACAGAGTAACCAGACAGAAGCTTTCTGAGAAACTACTTTGTGATGTGTGCTTTCGTCTCACAGAGTTGAGCCTTTCTGTTGATTGACCAGTTTGGAAACATTCTTTCTGTAGAATCCGCAAATGGATATTTGGAGCAATTTGCGGCCTACGGTGAAGAAGGAAATATCTTCACATAAAAACTAGACAGAAGCATTTTGAGAAACTTCTTTTTGATGTGTGTATTCATCTCACAGAGTTGAACGTTTCTTTTGATTTAGCAATTTGGAGAAAGTCTCTTGGTAGTATAAGCGGAGTTATGTTTGTGAGTGGTTTAAGGCCTACGGTGCCAAAGGAAATACCTTCACATAAAATGCAGACAGAAGGTTTTTGAGAAAACTCTTTGTGACATTTCCATTCATCTCTAATAGTTGACCATTTCTTCTCATTGAGCAGTTTGGAAACAGTCTTTTCCTACAAACTGCAAAGGGACATTTCTGAGCCGTTTGGGGCCAATGGTGAAAAATAAATATCTTCACATGAAAACTAGACAGAAGGTTTCTGACAAATTTCTTTCTGATGTGCACGTTTGTCACACGGAACTGAACCTTTCTTCTGATTGAGCAGTTTGGAATCAGTCTTTTTGTAGAATCTGTGAATGCATATTTAGAGAGTTTTAAGGCCTAGAGTGAAAATGGAAACGTCTTCACATAAAAACGACACAGTAGCTTTCTAAGAAACTTCTTTGTGATGTGTCCATTCACCTCACAGAGTTAAACCTTTCTTTTGATTGAGGAGTTTGGAAAATGTCTTTTCTTAGAATCTACAAAGGGATATTTGTGAGCCCTTTATGGCCTATGTTGAAATATGAAATATCTTCACATAAAAAATAGACAGAAGATTTCTGAGAAACTTCTTTGTGATGTGTGAATTCATGTCACAGAATTCAACCTTTCTTTCGATTGAGCAGTTTGGAAACAGTCTTTTGTAGAAGGTGCAAAGGGAAATTTCTTAGCTGATTCAGGCCTATGGTGAAAAAGAAATAACTTCACATAAAAACCAGACAGAAGATTTCTGAGAAACTTCTTTGTGATGTGTGTCTTCATCTCCCTGTGTTGAACCTTTCTTTTGATTGAGCAGTTTGGGAAGTCTTTGTGTAGAATCTGCAAATGGATATTTGGAGATATTTGAGGCCCTTGGTGAAAAAGCAAGTATCTTCACATAAAAACTAGACAGAATCATTCCAAGAAATTGTTTGTGATGTGTCCATTCACGTCACAGAGTTGAACCTTTCTTTTGATTGAGCAGTTTGGAAACACTCTTTTTGTAGAACCTGCAAAGGGATTTTTGTGAGCGCCTTATGGCCTGTGGTGAAATACGAAATATCTTCACATAAAAACTAGACAGGAGCTTTCTGAGAAACTCCCTTGTGATGTGTGCATTCACCTCACAGAGTTGAAACTTTCTTTTGATTGAGCAGATTGGAAAGAGGCTTATTGTACAATCTGCAAAGGGAGAATTCTGATGCGTTTGAGGCTTATGGTGAAAGAGAAACATATTCCCATAAAAACTAGACGGAAGCTTTCTAAGAAACTTCGGTGTGATGTGTGTTTTCATCTCACGGAATTGAAACTTTCTTTTGATTGAGGAGTTTGGAAACACTCTTTTTCTAGAATCTGCAAATGGATATTTGGAGAGCTTCTGAGGCCCATGTTGAAAAACGAAACATCTACACGTAAAAACTAAACAGAAGCATTCTGAGGAACTTCTTTGTGATGTGTGCATTCATCACACATAGTTGAAACTTTCTTTGGATTGAGCAGTTTTGAAACAGTCCTTTTGTAGAATCTGCCAAGGGATATTTCTGAGCCCATTGAGTACTATGATGCACTGTGAAGTATCTTCACATAAAAACTAGACAGAAGTTTTCTGAGAAACTACTTTTCGATGTGTCCGTTAATCTAACAGAGTTAAAACTTTCTTTTTATTGAGCAGTTTGGACACAGTCTTTTTGTAGAATCTGCAAAACATATTTGTGAGCCCTTTATTGCCTATGGTGAAATAGGAATCTTCTTCACATATAAACTAGACAGAAGCTTTCTGAGAAACTTCATTGAGATGTGTGCTTTCACCTCACAGAGTTAAACACTTTCTTTTGATTGAGCTGTTTGGAAACACTCTTTTTGTGAAATCTGTAAATGGATATTAGGAGTGCTTTGAGGCCAATGGTGACAAAGGAAATATCTTCTCATAAAAACTAAACAGAAGAATTCTGAGAAACTTCATTCTGATGTGCGCATTAACCTCAGAGAATTTAACCTTTCTTTTGATTGACAAGTATGGAAACGGTCGTCTTTTAGAATCTGGAAAGGGATATTTCTTAGCCCTTTGAGGCCTACGGTGAAACTGGAAATATCTTCACAGGAAAAGTAGACCGAAGAATTCTGAGGAACTTCTTTGTGATGTCTCCATTCATCTGACAGAGTTGAAGGTTTCTTTTAATTCAGCACTTTGGAAACCATATTTTTGTAGAATCTGCAAAGGGATATTTTTGAGACATTTGAAGCCTATAGTGAAATAGTAAATATCTTCACATAAAAACTAGACAGGAGCTTTCTGAGAAACTTCTTTGTGATGTGTGCATTCATCTCACAGTGTTGAAACTTTATTTTATTTGAGCAGTTTGGAGACAGTCTTTTTCTGCAATCTGCAAAGGCATATTTCTGAGCCATTTGAGGTCTGTGGTGAAAGAGAAATATCTTCACATTTAAACTAGACAGAAGGATTCTGAGAAACTTCTTTATGATGTGTGCATTCATCTCAGGTAGGTGAAATTTTCTTTTGATGGAGCAGTTTGGAAACAGTCTTTTTCTAGTATCTGCAGAAGGATATTTGTGAGCGGTGTGAGGACTATGCTGAAAAAGGAAATATCTTCACATAAAAACTAGACAGAAGATTTCTGAGAAACTTTTTTGTGATGTGTGCTCTCATCTCACAGAGTTGAAAATTTCTTTTGATTGAGCAGTTTGGAAACAGTCCTTTCGTATCATCTGCAAACGGATGTTTGGAGCGCTTTGTGGCCTAAGGTGAAAATGGAAACATCTTCACATAAAAACTAGACAGAAGCATTCTGAGAAACTTCTTTGTGATGTGTGCATTCATCTTACAATGTTGAACGTTTCTTTTGATTGAGCAGTTTGGAAACAGAACTTTTGTAGAATCTGCAAAGGGATATTTGTGAGCCCATTGATTCCTATGGTGAAATAGGAATTATCTTGAAATAAAAAAAAGGCAGAAGAATTCGGAGAAACTTCTCTTTGATGAGTGCATTCAATTCACATAGTTGTAACATGCTATATGGGCCAGTTTGGAAACAGTCTTTTTGTAGTGTCTGCAGACAGATATTTTTGAGTGGCTTAAAGCCTGTGGTGAAAAAAGAAATATCTTCACAGAGTAACCAGACAGAAGCTTTCTGAGAAACTCCTTTGTGATGTGTGCTTTCGTCTCACAGAGTTGAGCCTTTCTGTTGATTGACCAGTTTGGAAACATTCTTTCTGTAGAATCCGCAAATGGATATTTGGAGCAATTTGCGGCCTACTGTGAAGAAGGAAATATCTTCACATAAAAACTAGACAGAAGCATTTTGAGAAACTTCTTTTTGATGTGTGTATTCATCTCACAGAGTTGAACGTTTCTTTTGATTTAGCAATTTGGAGAAAGTCTCTTGGTAGTATAAGCGGAGTTATGTTTGTGAGTGGTTTAAGGCCTACGGTGCCAAAGGAAATACCTTCACATAAAATGTAGACAGAAGCTTTTTGAGAAAACTCTTTGTGACATTTCCATTCATCGCTAATAGTTGACCATTTCTTTTCATTGAGCAGTTTGGAAACAGTCTTTTCCTACAAACTGCAAAGGGATATTTCTGAGCCGTTTGGGGCCAATGGTGAAAAATAAATATCTTCACATGAAAACTAGACAGAAGCTTTCTGAGAAACTCCTCTGTGTTGTGCACGTTTGTATCACAGAGTTGAACCTTTCATTTGATTGAGCAGTTTGGAAACAGTCTTTTTGTAGAATCTGCAAATGTATATTTGGAGTGTTTTAAGGCCTATAGTGAAAAAGGAAATATCTTCACATAAAAACTACACAGTAGCTTTCTGAGAAACTTCTTTGTGATGTGTCCATTCATTGCACAGAGTGAAACCTTTCTTTTGATTGAGGAGTTTGGAAAATGTCTTTTCTTAGAATCTGCAAAGGGATATTCGTGAGCCCTTTATGGCCTTTGTTGAAATATGAAATATCTTCACATAAAAAGTAGACAGAAGATTTCTGAAAAACCTCTTTGTGATGTGTGAATTCATGTCACAGAATTCAACCTTCCTTTCAGTTGAGCAGTTTGGAACCAGTCTTTTGTAGAAGCTGCAGAGGGAAATTTCTTAGCTGCTCGAGGCCTATGGTGAACAAGAAATAGCCTCACATAAAAAGTAGACAGAAGATTTCTGAGAAACTTCTTTGTGATGTGTGCCTTCATCTCACTGTGTTGAACCTTTCTTTTGATTGAGCAGTTTGGGAAGTCTTTCTGTAGAATCTGCAAATGGATATTTGGGGATATTTGAGGCCCTTGGTGAAAAAGGAAGTATCTTCACATAAAAACTAGACAGAATCATTCCAAGAAATTTTCTGCGATGTGTCCATTCACGTCACAGAGTTGAACCTTTCTTTTGATTGAGCAGTTTGGAAACAGTCTTTTTGTAGAACCTGCAAAGGGATATTTGTGAGCCCCTTATGGCCTGTGGTGAAATACGAAATATCTTCACATAAAAACTAGACAGGAGGTTTCTGAGAAACTCTCTTGTGATGTGTGCATTCACCTCACAGAGTTGAAACTTTCTTTTGATTGAGCAGATTGGAAAGAGTCTTATTGTACAATCTGCAAAGGGAGAATTCTGATCCGTTTGAGGCTTATGGTGAAAGAGAAACATATTCCCATAAAAACTAGACGGAAGCTTTCTAAGAAACTTCGTTGTGATGTGTGCTTTCATCTCACGGAATTGAAACTTTCTTTGCATTGAGGAGTTTGGAAACACTCTTTTTCTAGAATCTGCAAATGGATATTTGGAGAGCTTCTGAGGCCCATGTTGAAAAACGAAACATCTTCACGTAAAAACTAAACAGAAGCATTCTGAGGAACTTCTTTGTGATGTGTGCATTCATCTCACATAGTTGAAACTTTCTTTGTATTGAGCAGTTTTGAAACAGTCCTTTTGTAGAATCTGCCAAGGGATATTTCTGAGCCCATTGAGTACTATGATGCACTGTGAAGTATCTTCACATAAAAACTAGACAGAAGATTTCTGAGAAACTACCTTTCGATGTGTCCATTAATCTAACAGAGTTAAAACTTTCTTTTCATTGAGCAGTTTGGATACAGTCTTTTTGTAGAATCTGCAAAAAATATTTGCGAGCCCTTTATTGCCTATGGTGAAATAGGAATCTTCTTCACATATAAACTAGACAGAAGCTTTCTGAGAAACTTCTTGGAGATGTGTGCTTTCACCTCACAGAGTTAAACACTTTCTTTTGATTGAGCTGTTTGGAAACACTCTTTTTGTGAAATCTGTAAATGGATATTAGCAGGGCTTTGAGGCCAATGGTGACAAAGGAAATATCTTCACATAAAAACTAAACAGAAGAATTCTGAGAAACTTCATTCTGACGTGGGCATTAACCTCAGAGAATTTAACCTTTCTTTTGATTGAGAAGTATGGAAACGGTCGTCTTTTAGAATCTGGAAAGGGATATTTCTTAGCCCTTTGAGGCCTCCGGTGAAACTGGAAATATCTTCACATGAAAAGTAGACCGAAGCATTCTGAGGAACTTCTTTGTGATGTCTCCATTCATCTGACAGAGTTGAAAGTTTCTTTTAATTCAGCACTTTGGAAACCATATTTTTGTAGAATCTGCAAAGGGATATTTTTGAGACATTTGAAGCCTATAGTGAAATACTAAATATCTTCACATAAAAACTAGACAGGAGCTTTCTGAGAAACTTCTTTGTGATGTGCGCATTCATCTCACAGTGTTGAGACTTTATTTTATTTGAGCAGTTTAGAGACAGTCTTTTTTTGCAATCTGCAAAGGTATATTTCTGAGCCATTTGAGGTCTATGGTGAAAAAGAAATATCTTCACATTGAAACTAGACAGAAGAATTCTGAGAAACTTCTTTCTGATGTGTGCATTCACCTCAGAGAGGTGAACTTTTCTTTTGATGGAGCAGTTTGGAAACAGTCTTTTTATAGTATCTGCAGAAGGATATTTGTGAGCGGTTTAAGGCCTATGGTGGAAAAGGAAATATCTTCACATAAAAACTAGACAGAAGATTTCTGAGAAACTTTTTTGTGATGTGTGCTTTCATCTCACAGAGTTGAAAATTTCTTTTGATTGAGCAGTTTGGAAACAGTCTTTTCATATAATCTGCAAATGGATATTTGGAGCACTTTGTGGCCTAAGTTGAAAATGGAAATATCTTCACATAAAAACTAGACAGAAGTATTCTGAGAAACTTCTTTGTGATGTGTTCATTCATCTCACAATGTTGAACGTTTCTTTTGATTGAGAGGTTTGTAAACACAACTTTTGTAGAATCTGCAAAGGGATATTTGTGAGCCCCTTGATTCCTATGGCAAAATAGGAATTATCTTGAGATAAAAACTAGACAGAAGAATCCTGAGAAACTTCTTTTTGATGAGTGCATTCATTTCACATAGTTGAAACATGCTATATGGGCCAGTTTGGAAACAGTCTTTTTGCAGAGTCTGCAGTCAGGTATTTTAGAGTGGCTTAAAGACTATGGTGAAAAAGGAAACATCTTCACATAGCAACCAGACAGAAGCTGTCTGAGAAACTTCTTTGTGATGTGTGCTTTCGTCTCACAGAGTTGAGCCTTTCTGTTGATTGACCAGTTTGGAAACATTCTTTCTGTAGAATCCGTAAATGGATATTTGGAGCAATTTGTGGCCTACGGTGAAGAAGGAAATATCTTCACATAAAAACTAGACAGAAGCATTTTGAGAAACTTATTTTTGATGTGTGTATTCATCTCACAGAGTTCAACGTTTCTTTTGATTTAGCAATTTGGAGAAAGTCTCTTGGTAGTATAAGCGGAGTTATGTTTGTGAGTGGTTTAAGGCCTACGGTGCCAAAGGAAATACCTTCACATAAAATGTAGACAGAAGCTTTTTGAGAAAACTCTTTGTGACATGTCCATTCATCTCTAATAGTTGACCATTTCTTCTCATTGAGCAGTTTGGAAACAGTCTTTTCCTACAAACTGCAAAGGGATATTTCTGAGCCGTTTGGGGCCAATGGTGAAAAATAAATATCTTCACATGAAAACTAGACAGAAGCTTTCTGACAAATTTCTTTGTGATGTGCACGTTTGTCACACGGAATTGAACATTTCTTCTGATTGCGCAGTTTGGAATCAGTCTTTTTGTAGAATCTATGAATGTATATTTAGAGAGTTTTAAGGCCTAGAGTGAAAAAGGAAACGTCTTCACATAAAAACGACGCAGTAGCTTTCTAAGAAACTTCTTTGTGATGTGTCCATTCATCTCACAGAGTTAAACCTTTCTTTTGATTGAGGAGTTTGGAAAATGTCTTTTCTTAGAATCTACAAAGGGATATTTGTGAGCCCTTTATGGCCTATGTTGAAATATGAAATATCTTCACATAAAAACTAGACAGAAGATTTCTGAGAAACCTCTTTGTGATGTGTGAATTCATGTCACAGATTTCAACCTTCCTTTCAGTTGAGCAGTTTGGAACCAGTCTTTTGTAGAAGCTGCAGAGGGAAATTTCTTAGCTGCTTGAGGCCTATGGTGAACAAGAAATAGCCTCACATAAAAAGTAGACAGAAGATTTCTGAGAAACTTCTTTGTGATGTGTGCCTTCATCTCACTGTGTTGAACCTTTCTTTTGATTGAGCAGTTTGGGAAGTCTTTCTGTAGAATCTGCAAATTGATATTTGGAGATATTTGAGGCCCTTGGTGAAAAAGGAAGTATCTTCACATAAAAACTAGACAGAATCATTCCAAGAAATTTTTTGTGATGTGTCCATTCACGTCACAGAGTTGAACCTTTCTTTTGATTGAGCAGTTTGGAAACAGTCTTTTTGTAGAACCTGCAAAGGGATATTTGTGAGCCCCTTATGGCCTGTGGTGAAATACGAAATATCTTCACATAAAAACTAGACAGGAGCTTTCTGAGAAACTCCCTTGTGATGTGTGCATTCACCTCACAGAGTTGAAACTTTCTTTTGATTGAACAGATTGGAAAGAGGCTTATTGTACAATCTGCAAAGGGAGAATTCTGATCCGTTTGAGGCTTCTGGTGAAAGTGAAATATCTTCCCATAAAAACTAGACGGAAGCTTTCTAAGAAACTTCGGTGTGATGTGTGCTTTCATCTCACGGAATTGAAACTTTCTTTTGATTGAGGAGTTTGGAAACACTCTTTTTCTAGAATCTGCAAATGGATATTTGGAGAGCTCCTGAGGCCCATGTTGAAAAACGAAACATCTTCACGTAAAAACTAAACAGAAGCATTCTGAGGAACTTCTTTGTGATGTGTGCATTCATCTCACATAGTTGAAACTTTCTTTGGATTGAGCAGTTTTGAAACAGTCCTATTGTAGAATCTGCCAAGGGATATTTCTGAGCCCATTGAGTACTATGCTGCAATGTGAAGTATCTTCACATAAAAACTAGACAGAAGTTTTCTGAGAAACTACTTTTCGATGTGTCCGTTAATCTAACAGAGTTAAAACTTTCTTTTTTTTGAGCAGTTTGGACACAGTCTTTTTGTAGAATCTGCAAAAAATATTTGTGAGCCCTTTATTGCCTATGGTGAAATAGGAATCTTCTTCACATATAAACTAGACAGAAGCTTTCTGAGAAACTTCATTGAGATGTGTGCTTTCACCTCACAGAGTTAAACACTTTCTTTTGATTGAGCTGTTTGGAAACACTCTTTTTGTGAAACTGTAAATGGATATTAGGAGTGCTTTGAGGCCAGTGGTGAAAAAGGAAATATCTTCTCATAAAAACTAAAGAGAAGAATTCTGAGAAACTTCATTCTGACGTGGGCATTAACCTCAGAGAATTTAACCATTCTTTTGATTGAGAAGTATGGAAACGGTCGTCTTTTAGAATCTGCAAAGGGATATTTCTTAGCCCTTTGAGGCCTACGGTGAAACTGGAAATATCTTCACATGAAAAGTAGACCGAAGCATTCCGAGGAACTTCTTTGTGATGTCTCCATTCATCTGACAGAGTTGAAGGTTTCTTTTAATTCAGCACTGTGGAAACCGTATTTTTGTAGAATCTGCAAAGGGATATTTTTGAGACCTTTGAAGCCTATAGTGAAATAGTAAATATCTTCACATAGAAACTAGACAGGAGCTTTCTGAGAAACTTCTTTGTGATGTGTGCATTCATCTCACAGTGTTGAAACTTTATTTTATTTGAGCAGTTTAGAGACAGTCTTTTTCTGCAATCTGCAATGGCATATTTCTGAGCCATTTGAGGTCTGTGGTGAAAGAGAAATATCTTCACATTTAAACTAGACAGAAGAATTCTGAGAAACTTCTTTGTGATGAGTCCATTCATCTCACAGAGTTGAAACATTCTTTGATGGACCAGTTTGGAAACAGTCTTTTTGTAGTATCTGCAGAAGGATATTTTTGAGTGGTTTAAAGACTATGGTGAAAAAGAAAATATCTTCACATAATAACTAGACAGAAGATATCTGAGAAACTTTTTTGTGATGGGTGCTTTCATCTCACAGAGTTGTAAATTTCTTTTGATTGAGCAGTTTGGAAACAGTCTTTTCGTATCATCTGCAAAGGGATGTTTGGAGCGCTTTGTGGCCTAAGGTGAAAATGGAAATATCCTCACATAAAATCTAGACAGAAGCATTCTGAGAAACTTCTTTGTGATGTGTTCATTCATCTCACAATGTTGAACGTTTCTTTTGATTGAGAGGTTTGTAAACAGAACTTTTGTAGAATCCGCAAAGGGATATTTGTGAGCCCCTTGATTCTTATGGCAAAATAGGAATAATCTTGAGATAAAAACTAGACAGAAGAATTCTAAGAAACTTCTCTTTGATGAGTGCATTCCTTTCACATAGTTGAAACATGCTATATGGGCCAGTTTGGAAACAGTCTTTTTGTAGTGTCTGCAGACAGATATTTTTGAGTGGCTTAAAGACTGTGGTGAAAAAAGAAATATCTTCACAGAGTAACCAGACAGAAGCTTTCTGAGAAACTTCTTTGTGATGTGTGCTTTCGTCTCACAGAGTTGAGCCTTTCTGTTGATTGACCAGTTTGGAAACATTCTTTTTGTAGAATCCGCAAATGGATATCTGGAACAATTTGCGGCCTACGGTGAAGAAGGAAATATCTTCACATAAAAACTAGACAGAAGCATTTTGAGAAACTTCTTTTTGATGTGTGTATTCATCTCACAGAGTTGAACGTTTCTTTTGATTTAGCAATTTGGAGAAAGTCTCTTGGTAGTATAAGCGGAGTTATGTTTGTGAGTGGTTTATGGCCTACGGTGCCAAAGGAAATACCTTCACAAAAAATGTAGACAGAAGCTTTTTGAGAAAACTCTTTGTGACATTTCCATTCATCTCTAATAGTTGACCATTTCTTCTCATTGAGCAGTTTGGAAACAGTCTTTTCCTACAAACTGCAAAGGGATATTTCTGAGCCGTTTGGGGCCAATGGTGAAAAATAAATATCTTCACATGAAAACTAGACAGAAGCTTTCTGACAAATTTCTTTGTGATGTGCACGTTTGTCACACGGAATTGAACCTTTCTTCTGATTGAGCAGTTTGGAATCAGTCTTTTTGTAGAATCTGTGAATGTATATTTAGAGAGTTTTAAGGCCTAGAGTGAAAAAGGAAACGGTCTTCACATAAAAACGACACAGTAGCTTTCTGAGAAACTTCTTTGTGATGTGTCCATTCATCGCACAGAGTGGAACCTTTCTTTTGATTGAGGATTTTGGAAAATGTCATTTCTTAGAATCTGCAAAGGGATATTTGTGAGCCCTTTATGGCCTTTGTTGAAATATGAAATATCTTCACATAAAAAGTAGACAGAAGATTTCTGAGAAACCTCTTTGTGATGTGTGAATTCATGTCACAGAATTCAACCTTCCTTTCAGTTGAGCAGTTTGGAACCAGTCTTTTGTAGAAGCTGCAGAGGGAAATTTCTTAGCTGCTTGAGGCCTATGGTGAACAAGAAATAGCCTCACATAAAAAGTAGACAGAAGATTTCTGAAAAACTTCTTTGTGATGTGTGAATTCATGTCACAGAGTTGAAGCTTTCTTGTGATTGAGTAGTTTGGAAACACTCTTTTTGTAGAATCTGCAAAGGGTTATTTATGAGCGGTTTGAGGCCTATGGTGAAAAAGGGAGTATCAGCAAATAAAAACTAGACAGAATCATTCCGAGAAATTTTTTGTGATGTGTCCATTCACGTCACAGAGTTGAACCTTTCTTTTGATTGAGCAGTTTGGAAACAGTCTTTTTGTAGAACCTGCAAAGGGATATTTGTGAGCCCCTTATGGCCTGTGGTGAAATACGAAGTATCTTCACACAAAAACTAGACAGGAGCTTTCTGAGAAACTCCCTTGTGATGTGTGCATTCACCTCACAGAGTTGAAACTTTCTTTTGATTGAGCAGATTGGAAAGAGGCTTATTGTACAATCTGCAAAGGGAGAATTCTGATCCGTTTGAGGCTAATGGTGAAAGAGAAACATCTTCCCATAAAAACTAGACGGAAGCTTTCTAAGAAACTTCGGAGTGATGTGTGCTTTCATCTCACACAATTGAAACTTTCTTTTGACTGAGGAGTTTGGAAACACTCTTTTTCTAGAATCTGCAAGTGGATATTTGGAGAGCTTTTGAGGCCCATGTTGAAAAACGAAACATCTTCATGTAAAAACTAAACAGAAGCACTCTGAGAAACTTCTTTGTGATGTGTGCATTCATCTCACATAGTTGAAACTGTCTTTGGATTGAGTAGTTTGGAAACAGTCCTCTTGTAGAATCTGCAAAGGGATATTTCTGAGCCCATTGAGTACTATGGTGCAATGTGAAATATCTTCACATAAAAACTAGACAGAAGTTTTCTGAGAAATTACCTTTCAATGTGTCCATTAGTCAAACAGAGTTAAAACTTTGTTTTTATTGAGCAGTTTGGATACAGTCTTTTTGTAGAATCTGCAAAAAATATTTGCGAGCCCTTTATTGCCTATGGTGAAATAGGAATCTTCTTCACATATAAACTAGACAGAAGCTTTCTGAGAAACTCCATTGAGATGTGTGCTTTCACCTCACAGAGTTAAACACTTTCTTTTGATTGAGCTGTTTGGAAACACTCTTTTTGTGAAATCTGTAAATGGATATTAGGAGTGCTTTGAGGCCAATGGTGGAAAAGGAAATATCTTCTCATAAAAACTAAACAGAAGAATTCTGAGAAACTTCATTCTGACGTGGGCATTAACCTCAGAGAATTTAACCTTTCTTTGGATTGAGAAGTATGGAAACGGTCGTCTTTTAGAATCTGGAAAGGGATATTTCTTAGCCCTTTGAGGCCTACGGTGAAACTGGAAATATCTTCACATGAAAAGTAGACCGAAGCATTCCGAGGAACTTCTTTGTGATGTCTCTGTTCATCTGACAGAGTTGAAGGTTTCTTTTAATTCAGCACTGTGGAAACCGTATTTTTGTAGAATCTGCAAAGGGATATTTTTGAGACCTTTGAAGCCTATATTGAAATAGTAAATATCTTCACATAGAAACTAGACAGGAGCTTTCTGAGAAACTTCTTTGTGATGTGTGCATTCATCTCACAGTGTTGAAACTTTATTTTATTTGAGCAGTTTAGAGACAGTCTTTTTCTGCAAACTGCAAAGGCATATTTCTGAGCCATTTGAGGTCTGCGGTGAAAGAGAAATATCTTCACATTTAAACTAGACAGAAGAATTCTGAGAAACTTCTTTATGATGTGTGCATTCATCTCAGGTAGGTGAAATTTTCTTTTGATGGAGCAGTTTGGAAACAGTCTTTTTCTAGTATCTGCAGAAGGATATTTGTGAGCGGTGTAAGGACTACGCTGAAAAAGGAAATATCTTCACAAAAAAACTAGACAGAAGATTTCTGAGAAACTTTTTTGTGATGGGTGCTTTCATCTCACAGAGTTGAAAATTTCTTTTGATTGAGCAGTTTGGACACAGTCTTTTCGTATCATCTGCAAAGGGATGTTTGGAGCGCTTTGTGGCCTAAGGTGAAAATGGAAATATCTTCACATAAAATCTAGACAGAAGCATTCTGAGAAACTTCTTTGTGATGTGTTCATTCGTCTCACAATGTTGAACGTTTCTTTTGATTGAGAGGTTTGTAAACAGAACTTTTGTAGGATATGCAAAGGGATATTTGTGAGCCCCTTGATTCCTATGGCAAAATAGGAATTATCTTGAGATAAAAACTAGACAGAAGAATTCTGAGGAACTTCTCTTTGATGAGTGCATTCATTTCACATAGTTGAAACATGCTATATGGGCCAGTTTGGAAACAGTCTTTTTGTAGTGTCTGCAGACAGATATTTTTGAGTGGCTTAAAGACTGTGGTGAAAAAAGAAATATCTTCACAGAGTAACCAGACAGAAGCTTTCTGAGAAACTTCTTTGTGATGTGTGCTTTCGTCTCACAGAGTTGAGCCTTTCTGTTGATTGACCAGTTTGAAACATTCTTTCTGTAGAATCCGCAAATGGATATTTGGAGCAATTTGCGGCCTACGGTGAAGAAGGAAATATCTTCACATAAAAACTAGACAGAAGCATTTTGAGAAACTTCTTTTTGATGTGTGTATTCATCTCACAGAGTTGAACATTTCTTTTGATTTAGCAATTTGGAGAAAGTCTCTTGGTAGTATAAGCGGAGTTATGTTTGTGAGTGGTTTAAGGCCTACGGTGCCAAAGGAAATACCTTCACATAAAATGCAGACAGAAGCTTTTTGAGAAAACTCTTTGTGACATTTCCATTCATCTCTAATAGTTGACCATTTCTTTTCATTGAGCAGTTTGGAAACAGTCTTTTCCTACAAACTGCAAAGGGATATTTCTGAGCCGTTTGGGGCCAATGGTGAAAAATAAATATCTTCACATGAAAACTAGACAGAAGCTTTCTGACAAATTTCTTTGTGATGTGCACGTTTGTCACACGGAATTGAACCTTTCTTCTGATTGAGCAGTTTGGAATCAGTCTTTTTGTAGAATCTGTGAATGTATATTTAGAGAGTTTTAAGGCCTAGAGTGAAAAAGGAAACGTCTTCACATAAAAACGACACAGTAGCTTTCTGAGAAACTTCTTTGTGATGTGTCCATTCATCGCACAGAGTGAAACCTTTCTTTTGATTGAGGAGCTTGGAAAATGTCTTTTCTTAGAATCTGCAAAGGGATATCTGTGAGCCCTTTATGGCCTTTGTTGAAATATGAAATATCTTCACATAAAAAGTAGACAGAAGATTTCTGAAAAACCTCTTTGTGATGTGTGAATTCATGTCACAGAATTCAACCTTTCTTTCAGTTGAGCAGTTTGGAACCAGTCTTTTGTAGAAGCTGCAGAGGGAAATTTCTTAGCTGCTTGAGGCCTATGGTGAACAAGAAATAGCCTCACATAAAAACTAGACAGAAGATTTCTGAGAAACTTCTTTGTGATGTGTGCCTTCATCTCACTGTGTTGAACCTTTCTTTTGTTTGAGCAGTTTGGGAAGTCTTTCTGTAGAATCTGCAAATGGATATTTGGAGATATTTGAGGCCCTTGGTGAAAAAGGAAGTATCTTCACATAAAACTAGACAGAATTATTCCGAGAAATTTTTTGTGATGTGTCCATTCACGTCACAGAGTTGAACTTTCTTTTGATTGAGCAGTTTGGAAACAGTCTTTGTATAGAACCTGCAAAGGGATATTTGTGAGCCCCTTATGGCCTGTGGTGAAATACGAAATATCTTCACACAAAAACTAGACAGGAGCTTTCTGAGAAACTCCCTTGTGATGTGTGCATTCACCTCACAGAGTTGAAACTTTCTTTTGATTGAGCAGATTGGAAAGAGGCTTATTGTACAAACTGCAAAGGGAGAATTCTGATCCGTTTGAGGCTTATGGTGAAAGAGAAACATCTTCCCATAAAAACTAGACGGAAGCTTTCTAAGAAACTTCGTTGTGATGTGTGCTTTCATCTCACAGAATTGAAACTTTCTTTTGATTGAGGAGTTTGGAAACACTCTTTTTCTAGAATCTGCAAATGGATATTTGGAGAGCTTTTGAGGCCCATGTTGAAAAACGAAACATCTTCACGTAAAAACTAAACAGAAGAATTCTGAGAGACTTCTTTGTAATGTGTGTATTTATCTTACAGTGTTAAACCTTTATTTTGATTGAGCTTTTTGGAAACACTCTTTTTGTAGCATCTGCAAGAGTTTATTTTTGAGCTCATTGAGACCTATTTTGAAATATGAAATATCTTCACATAAAAACTAGATAGAAGTTTTCTGAGAAACTACTTTTCGATGTGTCCATTAATCAAACAGAGTTAAAACTTTCTTTTTATTGAGCAGTTTGGATACAGTCTATTTGTAGAATCTGCAAAAAATATTTGCGAGCCCTTTATTGCCTATGGTGAAATAGGAATCTTCTTCACATATAAACCAGACAGAAGCTTTCTGAGAAACTCCATTGAGATGTGTGCTTTCACCTCACAGGAGTTAAACACTTTCTTTTGATTGAGCTGTTTGGAAACACTCTTTTTGTGAAATCTGTAAATGGATATTAGGAGTGCTTTGAGGCCAATGGTGGAAAAGGAAATATCTTCTCATAAAAACTAAACAGAAGAATTCTGAGAAACTTCATTCTGACGTGGGCATTAACCTCAGAGAATTTAACCTTTCTTTTGATTGAAAAGTATGGAAACGGTCGTCTTTTAGAATCTGGAAAGGGATATTTCTTAGCCCTTTGAGGCCTACGGTGAAACTGGAAATATCTTCACATGAAAAGTAGACCGAAGCATTCCGAGGAACTTCTTTGTGATGTCTCCATTCATCTGACAGAGTTGAAGGTTTCTTTTAATTCAGCACTGTGGAAACCGTATTTTTGTAGAATCTGCAAAGGGATATTTTTGGGACCTTTGAAGCCTATAGTGAAATAGTAAATATCTTCACATTGAAACTAGACAGGAGCTTTCTGAGAAACTTCTTTGTGATGTGCGCATTCATCTAACAGTGTTGAAACTTTATTTTGTTTGAGCAGTTTAGAAACAGTCTTTTTCTGCAATCTGCAAAGGCATATTTCTGAGCCATTTGAGGTCTATGGTGAAAAAAGAAATATCTTCACATTTAAAATAGACAGAAGAATTCTGAGAAACTTCTTTATGATGTGTGCATTCATCTCAGGTAGGCGAAATTTTCTTTTGATGGAGCAGTTTGGAAACAGTCTTTTTCTAGTATCTGCAGAAGGATATTTGTGAGCGGTGTAAGGACTATGGTGAAAAAGGGAATATCTTCACATAAAAACTAGACAGAAGATTTCTGAGAAACTTCTTTGTGATGTGTGCTTTCATCTCACAGAGTTGAAAATTTCTTTTGATTGAGCAGTTTGGAAACAGTCTTTTTGTATAATCTGCAAATGGATATTTGGAGCACTTTGTGGCCTAAGGTGAAAATGGAAATATCTTCACATAAAAACTAGACAGAAGCATTCTGAGAAACTTCTTTGTGATGTGTTCATTCATCTCACAATGTTGAACGTTTCTTTTGATTGAGAGGTTTGTAAACAGAACTTTTGTAGAATCTGCAAAGGGATATTTTTGAGCCCCGTGATTCCTATGGCAAAATAGGAATTATCTTGAGATAAAAACTAGACAGAAGAATTCTGAGAAACTTCTCTTTGATGAGTGCATTCCTTTCACATAGTTGAAACATGCTATATGGGCCAGTTTGGAAACAGTCTTTTTGTAGTGTCTGCAGACAGATATTTTTGAGTGGCTTAAAGACTGTGGTGAAAAAAGAAATATCTTCACAGAGTAACCAGACAGAAGCTTTCTGAGAAACTTCTTTGTGATGTGTGCTTTCGTCTCACAGAGTTGAGCCTTTCTGTTGATTGACCAGTTTGGAAACATTCTTTCTGTAGAATCCGCAAATGGATATTTGGAGCAATTTGCGGCCTACGGTGAAGAAGGAAATATCTTCAGATAAAAACTAGACAGAAGCATTTTGAGAAACTTCTTTTTGATGTGTGTATTCATCTCTCAGAGTTGAACGTTTCTTTTGATTTAGCAATTTGGAGAAAGTCTCTTGGTAGTATAAGCGGAGTTATGTTTGTGAGTGGTTTAAGGCCTACGGTGCCAAAGGAAATACCTTCACATAAAATGCAGACAGAAGCTTTTTGAGAAAACTCTTTGTGACATTTCCATTCATCTCTAATAGTTGAAAATTTCTTCTCATTGAGCAGTTTGGAAACAGTCTTTTCCTACAAACTGCAAAGGGATATTTCTGAGCCGTTTGGGGCCAATGGTGAAAAATAAATATCTTCACATGAAAACTAGACAGAAGCTTTCTGACAAATTTCTTTGTGATGTGCACGTTTGTCACACGAAATTGAACCTTTCTTCTGATTGAGCAGTTTGGAATCAGTCTTTTTGTAGAATCTGTGAATGTATATTTAGAGAGTTTTAAGGCCTAGAGTGAAAAAGGAAACGTCTTCACATAAAAACGACACAGTAGCTTTCTGAGAAACTTCTTTGTGATGTGTCCATTCATCGCACAGAGTGAAACCTTTCTTTTGATTGAGGAGTTTGGAAAATGTCTTTTCTTAGAATCTGCAAAGGGATATTTGTGAGCCCTTTATGGCCTTTGTTGAAATATGAAATATCTTCACGTAAAAAGTAGACAGAAGATTTCTGAGAAATCTCTTTGTGATGTGTGAATTCATGTCACAGAATTCAACCTTCCTTTCAGTTGAGCAGTTTGGAACCAGTCTTTTGTAGAAGCTGCAGAGGGAAATTTCTTAGCTGCTTGAGGCCTAAGGTGAACCAGAAATAGCCTCACATAAAAAGTAGACAGAAGATTTCTGAGAAACTTCTTTGTGATGTGTGCCTTCATCTCACTGTGTTGAACCTTTCTTTTGATTGAGCAGTTTGGGAAGTCTTTCTGTAGAATCTGTAAATGGATATTTGGAGATATTTGAGGCCCGTGGTGAAAAAGGAAGTATCTTCACATAAAAACTAGACAGAATCATTCCAAGAAATTGTTTGTGATGTGTCCATTCACGTCACAGAGTTGAACCTTTCTTTTGATTGAGCAGTTTGGCAACAGTCTTTTTGTGGAACCTGCAAAGGGATATTTGTGAGCCCCTTATGGCCTGTGGTGGAATACGAAATATCTTCACATAAAAACTAGACAGGAGCTTTCTGAGAAACTCCCTTTTGATGTGTGCATTCACCTCACAGAGTTGAAACTTTCTTTTGATTGAGGAGATTGGAAAGAGGCTTATTGTACAATCTGCAAAGGGAGAATTCTGATCCGTTTGAGGCTTCTGGTGAAAGAGAAACATCTTCCCATAAAAACTAGACGGAAGCTTTCTAAGAAACTTCGTTGTGATGTGTGCTTTCATCTCACGGAATTGAAACTTTCTTTTGATTGAGGAGTTTGGAAACACTCTTTTTCTAGAATCTGCAAATGGATATTTGGAGAGATCCTGAGGCCCATGTTGAAAAACGAAACATCTTCACATAAAAACTAAACAGAAGCATTCTGAGGAACTTCTTTGTGATGTGTGCATTCATCTCACATAGTTGAAACTTTCTTTGGATTGAGCAGTTTTGAAACAGTCCTTTTGTAGAATCTGCCAAGGGATATTTCTGAGCCCATTGAGTACTATGATGCACTGTGAAGTATCTTCACATAAAAGCTAGACAGAAGATTTCTGAGAAACTACCTTTCGATGTGTCCATTAATCTAACAGAGTTAAAACTTTCTTTTTATTGAGCAGTTTGGATACAGTCTTTTTGTAGAATCTGCAAAAAATATTTGCGAGCCCTTTATTGCCTATGGTGAAATAGGAATCTTCTTCACATATAAACTAGACAGAAGCTTTCGGAGAAACTTCTTTGAGATGTGTGCTTTCACCTCACAGAGTTAAACACTTTCTTTTGATTGAGCTGTTTGGAAACACTCTTTTTGTGAAATCTGTAAATGGATATTAGGAGTGCTTTGAGGCCAATGGTGACAAAGGAAATATCTTCACATAAAAACTACACAGAGAGAATTCTGAGAAACTTCATTCTGATGTGTGCATTCACCTCACAGAATTTAACCTTTCTTTTGATTGAGCAGTATGGAAATGTTCGTCTTTTAGAATTTGGAAAGGGATATTTCTTAGCCCTTTGAGGCCTATGGTGAAACTGGAAATATCTTCACATGAAAACTAGACCAAGCATTCCGGGGAACTTCTTTGTGATGTCTCCATTCATCTGACAGAGTTGAAGGTTTCTTTCAATTCAGCACTGTGGAAACCATATTTTTGTAGAATCTGCAAAGGGATATTTTTGGGACCTTTGAAGCCTATAGTGAAAGAGTAAATATCTTCACACAGAAACTAGACAGGAGCTTTCTGAGAAACTTCTTTGTGATGTGCGCATTCATCTCACAGTGTTGAAACTTTATTTTGTTTGAGCAGTTTAGAAACAGTCTTTTTCTGCAATCTGCAAAGGTATATTTCTGAGCCATTTGAGGTCTATGGTGAAAAAGAAATATCTTCACATTGAAACTAGACAGAAGAATTCTGAGAAACTTCTTTATGATGTGTGCATTCCTCTCAGGTAGGTGAAATTTTCTTTTGATGGAGCAGTTTGGAAACAGTCTTTTTCTAGTATCTGCAGAAGGATATTTGTGAGCGGTGTAAGGACTATGCTGAAAAAGGAAATATCTTCACATAAAAACTAGACAGAAGATTTCTGAGAAACTTTTTTGTGATGGTTGCTTTCATCTCACAGAGTTGAAAATTTCTTTTGATTGAGCAGTTTGGAAACAGTCTTTTCGTATCATCTGCAAAGGGATGTGTGGAGCGCTTTGTGGCCTAAGGTGAAAATGGAAATATCTTCACATAAAATCTAGACAGAAGCATTCTGAGAAACTTCTTTGTGATGTGTTCATTCGTCTCACAATGTTGAACGTTTCTTTTGATTGAGAGGTTTGTAAACAGAACTTTTGTAGGATCTGCAAAGGGATATTTGTGAGCCCCTTGATTCCTATGGCAAAATAGGAATTATCTTGAGATAAAAACTAGACAGGAGAATTCTGAGAAACTTCTCTTTGATGAGTGCATTCATTTCACATAGTTGAAACATGCTATATGGGCCAGTTTGGAAACCGTCTTTTTGTAGTGTCTGCAGACAGATATTTTTGAGTGGCTTAAAGACTGTGGTGAAAAAAGAAATATCTTCACAGAGTAACCAGAGAGAAGCTTTCTGAGAAACTTCTTTGTGATGTGTGCTTTCGTCTCACAGAGTTGAGCCTTTCTGTTGATTGACCAGTTTGGAAACATTCTTTCTGTAGAATACGCAAATGGATATTTGGAGCAATTTGCGGCCTACGGTGAAGAAGGAAATATCTTCACATAAAAACTAGACAGAAGCATTTTGAGAAACTTCTTTTTGATGTGTGTATTCATCTCACAGTGTTGAACGTTTCTTTTGATTTAGCAATTTGGAGAAAGTCTCTTGGTAGTATAAGCGGAGTTATGTTTGTGAGTGGTTTAAGGCCTACGGTGCCAAAGGAAATACCTTCACATAAAATGCAGACAGAAGCTTTTTGAGAAAACTCTTTGTGACATTTCCATTCATCTCTCATATTTGACCATTTCTTCTCATTGAGCAGTTTGGAAACAGTCTTTTCCTACAAACTGCAAAGGGACATTTCTGAGCCGTTTGGGGCCAATGGTGAAAAATAAATATCTTCACATGAAAACTAGACAGAAGCTTTCTGACAAATTTCTTTGTGATGTGCACGTTTGTCACACGGAATTGAACCCTTCTTCTGATTGAGCAGTTTGGAATCAGTCTTTTTGTAGAATCTGTGAATGTGTGTTTAGAGAGTTTTAAGGCCTAGGGTGCAAGAGGCAATGTCTTCACATAAAAACGATACAGTAGCTTTCTGAGAAACTTCTTTGTGATGTGTCCATTCATCGCACAGAGTGAAACCTTTCTTTTGATTGAGGAGTTTGGAAAATGTCTTTTCTTAGAATCTGCAAAGGGTTATTTGTGAGCCCTTTACGGCCTTTGTTGAAATATGAAATATCTTCACGTAAAAAGTAGACAGAAGATTTCTGAGAAACCTCTTTGTGATGTGTGAATTCATGTCACAGAATTCAACCTTCCTTTCAGTTGAACAGTTTGTAACCAGTCTTTTGTAGAAGCTGCAGAGGGAAATTTCTTAGCTGCTTGAGGCCTATGGTGAACAAGAAATAGCCTCACATAAAAACTAGACAGAAGGTTTCTGAGAAACTTCTTGGTGATGTGTGCCTTCATCTCACAGTGTTGAACCTTTCTTTTGATGGAGCAGTTTGGAAAGTCTTTCTGTAGAATCTGCAAATGGATATTTGGAGATATTTGAGGCTCGTGGTGAAAAAGGAAGTATCTTCACATAAAAACTAGACAGGATCGTTCCAAGAAATTTTCTGCGATGTGTCCATTCACGTCACAGAGTTGAACCTTTCTTTTGATTGAGCAGTTTGGAAACAGTCTTTTTGTAGAACCTGCAAAGGGATATTTGTGAGCCCCTTATGGCCTGTGGTGAAATACGAAATATCTTCACATAAAAACTAGACAGGAGCTTTCGGAGAAACTCCCTTGTGATGTGTGCATTCACCTTACAGAGTTGAAACTTTCTTTTGGTTGAGCAGATTGGAAAGAGGCTTATTGTACAATCTGCAAAGGGAGAATTCTGATCCTTTTGAGGCTTCTGGTGAAAGAGAAACATCTTCCCATTAAAACTAGACGGAAGCTTTCTAAGAAACTTCGGTGTGATGTGTGCTTTCATCTCACAGAATTGAAACTTTCTTTTGATTGAGGAGTTTGGAAACACTCTTTTTCTAGAATCTGCAAGTGGATATTTGGAGAGCTTTTGAGGCCCATGTTGAAAAACGAAACATCTTCACGTAAAAACTAAACAGAAGCATTCTGAGGAACTTCCTTGTGATGTGTGCATTCATCTCACATAGTTGAAACTTTCTTTGGATTGAGCAGTTTTGAAACAGTCCTTTTGTAGAATCTGCCAAGGGATATTTCTGAGCCCATTGAGTACTATGCTGCAATGTGAAGTATCTTCACATAAAAACTAGACAGAAGTTTTCTGAGAAACTACCTTTCGATGTGTCCATTAATCTAACAGAGTTAAAACTTTCTTTTTATTGAGCAGTTTGGATACAGTCTTTTTGTAGAATCTGCAAAAAATATTTGCGAGCCCTTTATTGCCTATGGTGAAATAGGAATCTTCTTCACATATAAACTAGACAGAAGCTTTCGGAAAAACTTCTTTGAGATGTGTGCTTTCACCTCACAGAGTTAAACACTTTCTTTTGATTGAGCTGTTTGGAAACACTCTTTTTGTGAAATCTGTAAATGGATATTAGGAGTGCTTTGAGGCCAATGGTGACAAAGGAAATATCTTCACATAAAAACTAAACAGAAGAATTCTGAGAAACTTCATTCTGACGTGGGCATTAACCTCAGAGAACTTAACCTTTCTTTTGATTGAGAAGTATGGAAACGGTCGTCTTTTAGAATCTGGAAAGGGATATTTCTTAGCCCTTTGAGGCCTACGGTGAAACTGGAAATATCTTCACATGAAAAGTAGACCGAAGCATTCCGGGGAACTTCTTTGTGATGTCTCCATTCATCTGACAGAGTTGAAGGTTTCTTTCAATTCAGCACTGTGGAAACCATATTTTTGTAGAATCTGCAAAGGGATATTTTTGGGACCTTTGAAGCCTATAGTGAAATAGTAAATATCTTCACACAGAAACTAGACAGGAGCTTTCTGAGAAACTTCTTTCTGATGTGTGCATTCATCTCACAGTGTTGAAACTTTATTTTGTTTGAGAAGTTTAGAAACAGTCTTTTTCTGCAATCTGCAAAGGTATATTTCTGAGCCATTTGAGGTCTATGGTGAAAAAGAAATATCTTCACATTTAAACTAGACAGAAGAATTCTGAGAAACTTCTTTATGATGTGTGCATTCATCTCAGGTAGGTGAAATTTTCTTTTGATGGAGCAGTTTGGAAACAGTCTTTTTCTAGTATCTGCAGAAGGATATTTGTGAGCGGTGTAAGGACTATGCTGAAAAAGGAAATATCTTCACATAAAAACTAGACAGAAGATTTCTGAGAAACTTTTTTGTGATGGGTGCTTTCATCTCACAGAGTTGAAAGTTTCTTTTGATTGAGCAGTTTGGAAACAGTCTTTTCGTATCATCTGCAAAGGGATGTTTGGAACGCTTTGTGGCCTAAGGTGAAAATGGAAATATCTTCACATAAAATCTAGACACAAGCATTCTGAGAAACTTCTTTGTGATGTGTGCATTCATCTCACAATGTTGAACGTTTCTTTTGATTGAGCAGCTTGGAAACAGAACTTTTGTAGAATCTGCAAAGGGATATTTGTGAGCACATTGATTCCTATGGCAAAATAGGAATTATCTTGAGATAAAAGCTAGACAGAAGGTTTCTAAGAAATACTTTTGTGAAGTGTGCTTTCATCTCACAGAATTGAACCTTTCTTTTCATTGAGCAGTTTGAAAACACTATTTTTGTAGAATCTGCAAGTGGATATATGGAGTGTTTTCAGGCCCATGGTGAAAAAGTAAATATCTTCACATTAAAACCAGACAGAAGTTTTCTGAGAAACTTCTTTGTGATGTGTGCTTTCGTCTCACAGAGTTGAGCCTTTCTGTTGATTGACCAGTTTGGAAACATTCTTTCTGTAGAATCCGCAAATGGATATTTGGAGCAATTTGCGGCCTACGGTGAAGAAGGAAATATCTTCACATAAAAACTAGACAGAAGCATTTTGAGAAACTTCTTTTTGATGTGTGTATTCATCTCTCAGAGTTGAACGTTTCTTTTGATTTAGCAATTTGGAGAAAGTCTCTTGGTAGTATAAGCGGAGTTATGTTTGTGAGTGGTTTAAGGCCTACGGTGCTAAAGGAAATACCTTCACATAAAATGCAGACAGAAGCTTTTTGAGAAAACTCTTTGTGACATGTCCATTCATCTCTAATTGTTGACCATTTCTTCTCATTGAGCAGTTTGGAAACAGTCTTTTCCTACAAACTGCAAAGGGACATTTCTGAGCCGTTTGGGGCCAATGGTGAAAAATAAATATCTTCACATGAAAACTAGACAGATGCTTTCTGACAAATTTCTTTGTGATGTGCACGTTTGTCACAAGGAATTGAACCTTTCTTCTGATTGAGCAGTTTGGAATCAGTCTTTTTGTAGAATCTGTGAATGTATATTTAGAGAGTTTTAAGGCCTAGAGTGAAAAAGGAAACGTCTTCACATAAAAACGACACAGTAGCTTTCTGAGAAATTTCTTTGTGATGTGTCCATTCATCGCACAGAGTGAAACATTTCTTTTGATTGAGGAGTTTGGAAAATGTCTTTTCTTAGAATCCGCAAAGGGATATTTGTGAGCCCTTTATGGCCTTTGTTGAAATATGAAATATCTTCACATAAAAAGTAGACAGAAGATTTCTGAGAAACCTCTTTGTGATGTGTGAATTCATGTCACAGAATTCAACCTTCCTTTCAGTTGAGCAGTTTGTAACCAGTCTTTTGTAGAAGCTGCAGAGGGAAATTTCTTAGCTGCTTGAGGCCTATGGTGAACAAGAAATAGCCTCACATAAACAGTAGACCGAAGATTTCTGAGAAACTTCTTTGTGATGTGTGCCTTCATCTCACTGTGTTGAACCTTTCTTTTGATTGAGCAGTTTGGGAAGTCTTTCTGTAGAATCTGCAAATGGATATTTGGAGATATTTGAGGCCCTTGGTGAAAAAGGAAGTATCTTCACATAAAAACTAGACAGAATGATTCCGAAAAATTTTTTGTGATGTGTCCATTCACGTCACAGAGTTGAACCTTTCTTTTGATTGAGCAGTTTGAAAACAGTCTTTTTGTAGAACCTGCAAAGGGATATTTGTGAGCCCCTTATGGCCTGTGGTGAAATACGAAATATCTTCACATAAAAACTAGACAGGAGCTTTCTGAGAAACTCCCTTGTGATGTGTGCATTCACCTCACAGAGTTGAAACTTTCTTTTGATTGAGCAGATTGGAAAGAGGCTCATTGTACAATCTGCAAAGGGAGAATTCTGATCCGTTTGAGGCTTATGGTGAAAGAGAAACATCTTCCCATAAAAACTAGACGGACGCTTTCTAAGAAACTTCGTTGTGATGTGTGCTTTCGTCTCACAGAATTGAAACTATCCTTTGATTGAGGAGTTTGGAAACACTCTTTTTCTAGAATATGCAAATGGATATTTGGAGAGCTTTTGAGGCCCGTGGTGAAAAACGAAATATCTTCACGTAAAAACTAAACAGAAGCATTCTGAAGAACTCCTTTGTGATGTGTGCATTCATCTCACATAGTTGAAACTTTCTTTGGATTGAGCAGTTTTGAAACAGTCCTTTTGTAGAATCTGCCAGGGGATATTTCTGAGCCCATTGAGTACTATGATGCACTGTGAAGTATCTTCACATAAAAACTAGACAGAAGTTTTCTGAGAAACTACTTTTCGATGTGTCCGTTAATCTAACAGAGTTAAAACTTTCTTTTTATTGAGCAGTTTGGACACAGTCTTTTTGTAGAATCTGCAAAACATATTTGTGAGCCCTTTATTGCCTATGGTGAAATAGGAATCATCTTCACATATAAACTAGACAGAAGCGTTCTGAGAAACTTCATTGAGATGTGTGCTTTCACCTCACAGAGTTAAACACTTTCTTTTGATTGAGCTGTTTGGAAACACTCTTTTTGTGAAATCTGTAAATGGATATTAGGAGTGCTTTGAGGCCAATGGTGACAAAGGAAATAACTTCTCATAAAAACTAAACAGAAGAATTCTGAGAAATTTCATTCTCATGTGTGCATTCACCTCACAGAATTTAAGCTTTCTTTTGATTGAGCAGTATGGAAGTGGTTGTCTTTTAGAATCTGGAAAGGGATATTTCTTGGCCCTTTGAGGCCTATGGTGAAACTGGAAATATCTTTACATGAAAACTAGACCGAAGCGTTCCGAGGAACTTCTTTGTGATGTCTCCATTCATCTGACAGAGTTGAAGGTTTCTTTTAATTCAGCACTGTGGAAACCGTATTTTTGCAGAATCTGCAAAGGGATATTTTTGAGACCTTTGAAGCCTACAGTGAAATAGTAAATATCTTCACATAGAAACTAGACAGGAGCTTTCTGAGAAACTTCTTTGTGATGTGTGCATTCATCTCACAGTGTTGAAACTTTATTTTATTTGAGCAGTTTAGAGACAGTCTTTTTCTGCAATCTGCAAAGGCTTATTTCTGAGCCATTTGAGGTCTGTGGTGAAAGAGAAATATCTTCACATTTAAACTAGACAGAAGAATTCTGAGAAACTTCTTTGTGATGTGTGCATTCATCTCAGAGAGGTGAACTTTTCTTTTGATGGAGCAGTTTGGAAACAGTATTTTTTTAGTATCTGCAGAAGGATATTTGTGAGCAGTTTAAGGCCTATGGTGAAAAAGGAAATATCTTCACATAAAAACTAGACAGAAGATTTCTGAGAAACTTTCTTGTGATGGGTGCTTTCATCTCACAGAGTTGAAAATTTCTTTTGATTGAGCAGTTTGGAAACAGTCTTTTCGTATCATCTGCAAAGGGATGTTTGGAGCGCTTTGTGGTCTAAGGTGAAAATGGAAATATCTTCACATAAAATCTAGACAGAAGCATTCTGAGAAACTTCTTTGTGATGTGTTCATTCACCTCACAATGTTGAACGTTTCTTTTGATTGAGAGCTTTGTAAACAGAACTTTTGTAGAATCTGCAAAGGGATATTTGTGAGCCCCTTGATTCCTATGGCAAAATAGGAATTATCTTGAGATAAAAACTAGACAGAAGAATTCTGAGAAACTTCTCTTTGATGAGTGCATTCATTTCACATATTTGAAACATGCTATATGGGCCAGTTTGGAAACAGTCTTTTTGTAGTGTCTGCAGACAGATATTTTTGAGTGGCTTAAAGACTGTGGTGAAAAAAGAAATATCTTCACAGAGTAACCAGACAGAAGCTTTCTGAGAAACTTCTTTGTGATGTGTGCTTTCGTCTCACAGAGTTGAGCCTTTCTGTTGATTGACCAGTTTGGAAACATTCTTTCTGTAGAATCCGCAAATGGATATTTGGAGCAATTTGCGGCCTACGGTGAAGAAGGAAATATCTTCACATAAAAACTAGACAGAAGCATTTTGAGAAACTTCTTTTTGATGTGTGTATTCATCTCACAGAGTTGAACGTTTCTTTTGATTTAGCAATTTGGAGAAAGTCTCTTGGTAGTATAAGCAGAGTTATGTTTGTGAGTGGTTTAAGGCCTACGGTGCCAAAGGAAATACCTTCACATAAAATGTAGACAGAAGAATTTTGAGAAAACTCCTTGTGACATTTCCATTCATCTCTAATAGTTGACCATTTCTTCTCATTGAGCAGTTTGGAAACAGTCTTTTCCTACAAACTGCAAAGGGATATTTCTGAGCCGTTTGGGGCCAATGGTGAAAAATAAATATCTTCACATGAAAACTAGGCAGAAGCTTTCTGACAAATTTCTTTGTGATGTGCACGTTTGTCACACGGAACTGAACCTTTCTTCTGATTGAGCAGTTTGGAATCAGTCTTTTTGTAGAATCTGTGAATGTATATTTAGAGAGTTTTAAGGCCTAGAGTGAAAAAGGAAACGTCTTCACATAAAAACGACGCAGTAGCTTTCTGAGAAACTTCTTTGTGATGTGTCCATTCATCGCACAGAGTGAAACCTGTCTTTTGATTGAGGAGTTTGGAAAATGTCTTTTCTTAGAATCTGCAAAGGCATATTTGTGAGCCCTTTATGGCCTTTGTTGAAATATGAAATATCTTCACATAAAAAGTAGACAGAAGATTTCTGAGAAATCTCTTTGTGATGTGTGAATTCATGTCACAGAATTCAACCTTCCTTTCAGTTGAGCAGTTTGGAACCAGTCTTTTGTAGAAGCTGCAGAGGGAAATTTCTTAGCTGCTTGAGGCCTATGGTGAACCAGAAATAGCCTCACATAAAAAGTAGACAGAAGATTTCTGAGAAACTTCTTTGTGATGTGTGCTTTCATCTCACAGTGTTGAACCTTTCTTTGATTGAGCAGTTTGGAAAGTCTTTTTTGTAGAATCTGCAAATGGATATTTGGAGCTATTTCAGGCCCATGGTGAAAAAGAAAGTATCTTCACATAAAAACTAGACAGAATCATTCCAAGAAATTTTCTGCGATGAGTCCATTCACGTCACAGAGTTGAACCTTTCTTTTGATTGAGCAGTTTGGAAACAGTCTTTTTGTGGAACCTGCAAAGGGATATTTGTGAGCCCCTTGTGGTCTTTGGTGAAATACGAAATATCTTCAAATAAAAACTAGACAGGAGCTTTCTGAGAAACTAACTTGTGATGTGTGCATTCACCTCACAGAGTTGAAACTTTCTTTTGATTGAGCAGATTGGAAAGAGGCTTATTGTACAATCTGCAAAGGGAGAATTCCGATCCGTTTGAGGCTTCTGGTGAAAGAGAAACATCTTCCCATAAAAACTAGACGGAAGCTTTCTAAGAAACTTCGGTGTGATGTGGGCTTTCATCTCACAGAATTGAAACTTTCTTTTGATTGAGGAGTTTGGAAACACTCTTTTTCTAGAATCTGCAAGTGGATATTTGGAGAGCTTTTGAGGCCCATGTTGAAAAACGAAACATCTTCACGTAAAAACTAAACAGAAGCATTCTGAGAAACTTCTTTGTGATGTGTGCATTCATCTCACAGAGTTGAAACTTTCTTTGGATTGAGCAGTTTGGAAACAGTCCTTTTGTAGAATCTGCAAAGGGATATTTCTGAGCCCATTGAGTACTATGGTGAAATGTGAAATATCTTCACATAAAAACTAGACAGAAGTTTTCTGAGAAACTACTTTTCGATGTGTCCATTAATCTAACAGAGTTGAAACTTTCTTTTTATTGAGCAGTTTGGATACAGTCTTTTTGTAGAATCTGCAAAAAATATTTGTGAGCCCTTTATTGCCTATGGTGAAATAGGAATCTTCTTCACATATAAACTAGACAGAAGCTTTCGGAGAAACTTCTTTGAGATGTGTGCTTTCACCTCACAGAGTTAAACACTTTCTTTTGATTGAGCTGTTTGGAAACACTCTTTTTGTGAAATCTGTAAATGGATATTAGGAGTGCTTTGAGACCAATGGTGACAAAGGAAATATCTTCACATAAAAACTACACAGAAGAATTCTGAGAAACTTCATTCTGACGTGGGCATTAACCTCAGAGAATTTAACCTTTCTTTTGATTGAGAAGTATGGAAACGGCCGTCTTTTAAAATCTGGAATGGGATATTTCTTAGCCCTTTGAGGCCTACGGTGAAACTGGAAATATCTTCACATGAAAAGTAGACCGAAGCGTTCCGAGGAACTTCTTTGTGATGTCTCCATTCATCTGACAGAGTTGAAGGTTTCTTTTAATTCAGCACTGTGGAAACCGTATTTTTGCAGAATCTGCAAAGGGATATTTTTGAGACCTTTGAAGCCTACAGTGAAATAGTAAATATCTTCACATAGTAACTAGACAGGAGCTTTCTGAGAAACTTCTTTGTGATGTGTGCATTCATCTCACAGTGTTGAAACTTTATTTTATTTGAGCAGTTTAGAGACAGTCTTTTTCTGCAATCTGCAAAGGCATATTTCTGAGCCATTTGAAGTCTGTGGTGAAAGAGAAATATCTTCACATTTAAACTAGACAGAAGAATTCTGAGAAACTTCTTTATGATGGGTGCATTCATCTCAGGTAGGTGAAATTTTCTTTTGATGGAGCAGTTTGGAAACAGTCTTTTTCTAGTATCTGCAGAAGGATATTTGTGAGCGGTGTAAGGACTACGCTGAAAAAGGAAATATCTTCACATAAAAACTAGACAGAAGATTTCTGAGAAACTTTTTTGTGATGGGTGCTTTCATCTCACAGAGTTGAAAATTTCTTTTGATTGAGCAGTTTGGAAACAGTCTTTTCGTATCATCTGCAAAGGGATGTTTGGAGCGCTTTGTGGCCTAAGGTGAAAATGGAAATGTCTTCACAGAAAATCTAGACAGAAGCATTCTGAGAAACTTCTTTGTGATGTGTTCATTCATCTCACAATGTTGAACGTTTCTTTTGATTGAGAGGTTTGTAAACAGAACTTTTGTAGAATCTGCAAAGGGATATTTGTGAGCCCCTTGATTCCTATGGCAAAATAGGAATTATCTTGAGATAAAAACTAGACAGAAGAATTCGGAGAAACTTCTCTTTGATGAGTGCATTCATTTCACATAGTTGAAACATGCTATATGGGCCAGTTTGGAAACTGTCTTTTTGTAGTGTCTGCAGACAGATATTTTTGAGTGGCTTAAAGACTGTGGTGAAAAAAGAAATATCTTCACAGAGTAACCAGACAGAAGCTTTCTGAGAAACTTCTTTGTGATGTGTGCTATCGTCTCACAGAGTTGAGCCTTTCTGTTGATTGACCAGTTTGGAAACATTCTTTTTGTAGAATCCGCAAATGGATATTTGGAACAATTTGCGGCCTACGGTGAAGAAGGAAATATCTTCACATAAAAACTAGACAGAACCATTTTGAGAAACTTCTTTTTGATGTGTGTATTCATCTCACAGAGTTGAACGTTTCTTTTGATTTAGCAATTTGGAGAAAGTCTCTTGGTAGTATAAGCGGAGTTATGTTTGTGAGTGGTTTAAGGCCTACGGTGCCAAAGGAAATACCTTCACAAAAAATGTAGACAGAAGCTTTTTGAGAAAACTCTTTGTGACATGTCCATTCATCTCTAATAGTTGACCATTTCTTCTCATTGAGCAGTTTGGAAACAGTCTTTTCCTACAAACTGCAAAGGGACATTTCTGAGCCGTTTGGGGCCAATGGTGAAAAATAAATATCTTCACATGAAAACTAGACAGAAGGTTTCTGACAAATTTCTTTCTGATGTGCACGTTTGTCACACGGAACTGAACCTTTCTTCTGATTGAGCAGTTTGGAATCAGTCTTTTTGTAGAATCTGTGAATGTATATTTAGAGAGTTTTAAGGCCTAGAGTGAAAAAGGAAACGTCTTCACATAAAAACGACACAGTAGCTTTCTGAGAAACTTCTTCGTGATGTGTCCATTCATCTCACAGAGTTAAACCTTTCTTTTGGTTGAGGAGTTTGGAAAACGTCTTTTCTTAGAATCTGCGAAGGGATATTTGTGAGTCCTTTATGGCCTTTGTTGAAATATGAAATATCTTCACATAAAAAGTAGACAGAAGATTTCTGAAAAACCTCTTTGTGATGTGTGAATTCATGTCACAGAATTCAACCTTTCTTTCAGTTGAGCAGTTTGGAAACAGTCTTTTGTAGAAGCTGCAGAGGGAAATTTCTTAGCTGCTTGAGGCCTATGGTGAACAAGAAATAGCCTCACATAAAAACTAGACAGAAGATTTCTGAGAAACTTCTTTGTGATGTGTGCCTTCATCTCACTGTGTTGAACCTTTCTTTTGATTGAGCAGTTTGGGAAGTCTTTCTGTAGAATCTGCAAATGGATATTTGGAGATATTTGAGGCCCGTGGTGAAAAAGGAAGTATCTTCACATAAAATCTAGACAGAATCATTCCGAGAAATTTTTTGTGATGTGTCCATTCACGTCACAGAGTTGAACCTTTCTTTTGATTGAGCAGTTTGGAAACAGTCTTTGTGTAGAACCTGCAAAGGGATATTTGTGAGTCCCTTATGGCCTGTGGTGAAATACGAAATATCTTCACACAAAAACTAGACAGGAGCTTTCTGAGAAACTCCCTTGTGATGTGTGCATTCACCTCCCAGAGTTGAAACTTTCTTTTGATTGAGCAGATTGGAAAGAGGCTTACTGTACAATCTGCAAAGGGAGAATTCTGATCCGTTTGAGGCTTCTGGTGAAAGAGAAACATCTTCCCATAAAAACTACAAGGAATCTTTCTAAGAAACTTCGGTGTGATGTGTGCTTTCATCTCACAGAATTGAAACTTTCTTTTGATTGAGGAGTTTGGAAACACTCTTTTTCTAGAATCTGCAAGTGGATATTTGGAGAGCTTTTGAGGCCCATGTTGAAAAACGAAACATCTTCACGTAAAAACTAAACAGAAGCATTCTGAGGAACTTCTTTGTGATGTGTGCATTCATCTCACATAGTTGAAACTTTTTTTGGATTGAGCAGTTTGGAAACAGTCATTTTGTAAAATCTGCAAAGGGATATTTCTGAACCCATTGAGTACTATGGTGCAATGTGAAATATCTTCACATAAAAACTAGACAAAAGTTTTCTGAGAAACTACTTTTCGATGTGTCCATTAATCTAACAGAGTTAAAACTTTCTTTTTATTGAGCAGTTAGGATACAGTCTTTTTGTAGAATCTGCAAAAAATATTTGTGAGCCCTTTATTGCCTATGGTGAAATAGGAATCTTCTTCACATATAAACTAGACAGAAGCTTTCTGAGAAACTTCATTGAGATGTGTGCTTTCACCTCACAGAGTTAAACACTTTCTTTTGATTGAGCTGTTTGGAAACACTCTTTTTGTGAAATCTGTAAATAGTTATTAGGAGTGATATGAGGCCAATGGTGGCAAAGGAAATATCTTTACATAAAAACTAAACAGAAGAATTCTGAGAAACTTCATTCTGATGTGTGCATTCACCTCACAGAATTTAACCTTTCTTTTGATTGAGCAGTATGGAAATGTTCGTCTTTTAGAATTTGGAAAGGGATATTTCTTAGCCCTTTGAGGCCTATGGTGAAACTGGAAATATCTTCACATGAAAACTAGACCAAAGCATTCCGAGGAACTTCTTTGTGATGTCTCCATTCATCTGACAGAGTTGAAGGTTTCTTTTAATTCAGCACTGTGGAAACCGTATTTTTGTAGAATCTGCAAAGGGATATTTTTGAGACCTTTGAAGCCTACAGTGAAATAGTAAATATCTTCACATAGAAACTAGACAGGAGCTTTCTGAGAAACTTCTTTGTGATGTGTGCATTCATCTCACAGTGTTGAAACTTTATTTTATTTGAGCAGTTTAGAGACAGTCTTTTTCTGCAATCTGCAAAGGCATATTTCTGAGCCATTTGAGGTCTGTGGTGAAAGAGAAATATCTTCACATTTAAACTAGACAGAAGAATTCTGAGCAAACTTCTTTATGATGGGTGCATTCATCTCAGGTAGGTGAAATTTTCTTTTGATGGAGCAGTTTGGAAACAGTCTTTTTCTAGTATCTGCAGAAGGATATTTGTGAGCGGTGTAAGGACTACGCTGAAAAAGGAAATATCTTCACATAAAAACTAGACAGAAGATATCTGAGAAACTTTTTTGTGATGGGTGCTTTCATCTCACAGAGTTGAAAATTTCTTTTGATTGAGCAGTTTGGAAACAGTCTTTTCGTATCATCTGCAAAGGGATGTTTGGAGCGCTTTGTGGCCTAAGGTGAAAATGGAAATATCCTCACATAAAATCTAGACAGAAGCATTCTGAGAAACTTCTTTGTGATGTGTTCATTCATCTCACAATGTTGAACGTTTCTTTTGATTGAGAGGTTTGTAAACACAACTTTTGTAGAATCTGCAAAGGGATATTTGTGAGCCCCTTGATTCCTATGGCAAAATAGGAATTCTCTTGAGATAAAAACTAGACAGAAGAATTCTGAGAAACTTCTCTTTGATGAGTGCATTCATTTCACATAGTTGAAACATGCTATATGGGCCAGTTTGGAAACAGTCTTTTTGTAGTGTCTGCAGACAGATATTTTTGAGTGGCTTAAAGACTGTGGTGAAAAAAGAAATATCTTCACAGAGTAACCAGACAGAAGCTTTCTGAGAAACTTTGTGATGTGTGTTTTCGTCTCACAGAGTTGAGCCTTTCTTTTGATTGACCAGTTTGGAAACACTCTTTTTGTAGAATCTGCAAATGGATATTTGGAGCAATTTGAGAACTATGGTGAAAAAGGAAATATCTTCACATAAAAACTAGACAGAAAGCATTTTGAGAAACTTCTTTTTGATGTGTGTATTCATCTCACAGAGTTGAACGTTTCTTTTGATTTAGCGATTTGGAGAAAGTCTCTTGGTAGTATAAGCGGAGTTATGTTTGTGAGTGGTTTAAGGCCTACGGTGCCAAAGGAAATACCTTCACATAAAATGTAGACAGAAGCTTTATGAGAAAACTCTTTGTGACATTTCCATTCATCTCTAATAGTTGACCATTTCTTTTCATTGAGCAGTTTGGAAACAGTCTTTTCCTACAAACTGCAAAGGGATATTTCTGAGCCGTTTGGGGCCAATGGTGAAAAATAAATATCTTCACATGAAAACTAGACAGAAGCTTTCTGACAAATTTCTTTGTGATGTGCACGTTTGTCACACGGAATTGAAACTTTCTTCTGATTGAGCAGTTTGGAATCCGTCTTTTTGTAGAATCTGTGAATGTATATTTAGAGAGTTTTAAGGCCTAGAGTGAAAAAGGAAACGTCTTCACATAAAAACGACACAGTAGCTTTCTGAGAAACTTCTTTGTGATGTGTCCATTCATCGCACAGAGTGAAACCTTTCTTTTGATTGAGGAGTTTGGAAAATGTCTTTTCTTAGAATCTGCAAAGGGATATTTGTGATCCTTTTATGGCCTTTGTTGAAATATGAAATATCTTCACGTAAAAAGTAGACAGAAGATTTCTGAAAAACCTCTTTGTGATGTGTGAATTCATGTCACAGAATTCAACCTTCCTTTCAGTTGAGCAGTTTGGAACCAGTCTTTTGTAGAAGCTGCAGAGGGAAATTTCTTAGCTGCTTGAGGCCTATGGTGAACAAGAAATAGCCTCACATAAAAAGTAGACAGAAGATTTCTGAGAAACTTTTTTGTGATGTGTGCCTTCATCTCACTGTGTTGAACCTTTCTTTTGTTTGAGCAGTTTGGGAAGTCTTTCTGTAGAATCTGCAAATGGATATTTGGAGATATTTGAGGCCCTTGGTGAAAAAGGAAGTATCTTCACATAAAACTAGACAGAATCATTCCGAGAAATTTTTTGTGATGTGTCCATTCACGTCACAGAGTTGAACCTTTCTTTTGATTGAGCAGTTTGGAAACAGTCTTTGTGTAGAACCTGCAAAGGGATATTTGTGAGCCCCTTATGGCCTGTGGTGAAATACGAAATATCTTCACACAAAAACTAGACAGGAGCTTTCTGAGAAACTCCCTTGTGATGTGTGCATTCACCTCACAGAGTTGAAACTTTCTTTTGATTGAGCAGATTGGAAAGAGGCTTATTGTACAATCTGCAAAGGGAGAATTCTGATCCGTTTGAGGCTTATGGTGAAAGAGAAACATCTTCCCATAAAAACTAGACGGAAGCTTTCTAAGAAACTTCGTTGTGATGTGTGCTTTCATCTCACGGAATTGAAACTTTCTTTTGATTGAGGAGTTTGGAAACACTCTTTTTCTAGAATCTGCAAATGGATATTTGGAGAGATCCTGAGGCCCATGTTGAAAAACGAAACATCTTCACGTAAAAACTAAACAGAAGCATTCTGAGGAACTTCTTTGTGATGTGTGCATTCATCTCACATAGTTGAAACTTTCTTTGGATTGAGCAGTTTTGAAACAGTCCTTTTGTAGAATCTGCCAAGGGATATTTCTGAGCCCATTGAGTACTATGATGCACTGTGAAGTATCTTCACATAAAAACTAGACAGAAGTTTTCCGAGAAACTACTTTTCGATGTGTCCGTTAATCTAACAGAGTTAAAACTTTCTTTTTATTGAGCAGTTTGGACACAGTCTTTTTGTAGAAACTGCAAAAAATATTTGTGAGCCCTTTATTGCCTATGGTGAAATAGGAATCTTCTTCACATATAAACTAGACAGAAGCTTTCTGAGAAACTCCTTGGAGATGTGTGCTTTCACCTCACAGAGTTAAACACTTTCTTTTGATTGAGCTGTTTGGAAACACTCTTTTTGTGAAATCTGTAAATGGATATTAGGAGTGCTTTGAGGCCAATGGTGACAAAGGAAATATCTTCACATAAAAACTAAACAGAAGAATTCTGAGAAACTTCATTCTGACGTGGGCATTAACCTCAGAGAATTTAACCTTTCTTTTGATTGAGAAGTATGGAAACGGTCGTCTTTTAGAATCTGGAAAGGGATATTTCTTAGCCCTTTGAGGCCTACGGTGAAACTGGAAATATCTTCACATGAAAAGTAGACCGAAGCATTCCGAGGAACTTCTTTGTGATGTCTCCATTCATCTGACAGAGTTGAAGGTTTCTTTTAATTCAGCACTGTGGAAACCGTATTTTTGTAGAATCTGTAAAGGGATATTTTTGAGACCTTTGAAGCCTATAGTGAAATAGTAAATATCTTCACATAGAAACTAGACAGGAGCTTTCTGAGAAACTTCTTTGTGATGTGTGCATTCATCTCACAGTGTTGAAACTTTATTTTATTTGAGCAGTTTAGAGACAGTCTTTTTCTGCAATCTGCAAAGGCATATTTCTGAGCCATTTGAGGTCTGTGGTGAAAGAGAAATATCTTCACATTTAAACTGGACAGAAGAATTCTGAGAAACTTCTTTATGATGTGTGCATTCATCTCAGGTAGGTGAAATTTTCTTTTGATGGAGCAGTTTGGAAACAGTCTTTTTCTAGTATCTGCAGAAGGATATTTGTGAGCGGTGTAAGGACTATGGTGAAAAAGGAAATATCTTCACATAAAAACTAGACAGAAGATTTCTGAGAAACTTTTTTGTGATGGGTGCTTTCATCTCACAGAGTTGAAAATTTCTTTTGATTGAGCAGTTTGGAAACAGTCTTTTCGTATCATCTGCAAAGGCATGTTTGGAGCGCTTTGTGGCCTAAGGTGAAAATGGAAATATCTTCACATAAAATCTAGACAGAAGCATTCTGAGAAGCTTCTTTATGATGTGTTCATTCATCTCACAATGTTGAACGTTTCTTTTGATTGAGAGGTTTGTAAACAGAACTTTTGTAGAATCTGCAAAGGGATATTTGTGAGCCCCTTGATTCCTATGGCAAAATAGGAATTATCTTGAGATAAAAACTAGACAGAAGAATTCTGAGAAACTTCTCTTTGATGAGTGCATTCATTTCACATAGTTGAAACATGCTATATGGGCCAGTTTGGAAACCGTCTTTTTGTAGTGTCTGCAGACAGATATTTTTGAGTGGCTTAAAGACTGTGGTGAAAAAAGAAATATCTTCACAGAGTAACCAGACAGAAGCTTTCTGAGAAACTTCTTTGTGATGTGTGCTTTCGTCTCACAGAGTTGAGCCTTTCTGTTGATTGACCAGTTTGGAAACATTCTTTTTGTAGAATCCGCAAATGGATATTTGGAACAATTTGCGGCCTACGGTGAAGAAGGAAATATCTTCACATAAAAACTAGACAGAAGCATTTTGAGAAACTTCTTTTTGATGTGTGTATTCATCTCACAGAGTTGAACGTTTCTTTTGATTTAGCAATTTGGAGAAAGTCTCTTGGTAGTATAAGCGGAGTTATGTTTGTGAGTGGTTTAAGGCCTAAGGTGCCAAAGGAAATACCTTCACATAAAATGCAGACAGAAGCTTTTTGAGAAAACTCTTTGTGACATTTCCATTCATCTCTAAGAGTTGACCATTTCTTTTCATTGAGCAGTTTGGAAACAGTCTTTTTGTACAAAATGCAAAGGGATATTTCTGAGCAGTTTGAGGCCAATGGTGAAAAATAAATATCTTCACATGAAAACTAGACAGAAGCTTTCTGACAAATTGCTTTGTGATGTGCAAGTTTGTCACACGGAATTGAACTTTTCTTCTGATTGAGCAGTTTGGAATCAGTCTTTTTGTAGAATCTGTGAATGTATATTTAGGGAGTTTTAAGGCCTAGAGTGAAAAAGGAAACGTCTTCACATAAAAACGACACAGTAGCTTTCTGAGAAACTTCTTTGTGATGTGTCCATTCATCGCACAGAGTGAAACCTTTCTTTTGATTGAGGAGTTTGGAAAATGTCTTTCCTTAGAATCTGCAAAGGGATATTTGTGAGCCCTTTATGGCCTTTGTTGAAATATGAAATATCTTCACATAAAAAGTAGACAGAAGATTTCTGAAAAACCTCTTTGTGATGTGTGAATTCATGTCACAGAATTCAACCTTCCTTTCAGTTGAGCAGTTTGGAACCAGTCTTTTGTGGAAGCTGCAGAGGGAAATTTCTTAGCTGCTTGAGGCCTATGGTGAACAAGAAATAGCCTCACATAAAAAGTAGACAGAAGATTTCTGAGAAAGTTCTTTGTGATGTGTGCCTTCATCTCACTGTGTTGAACCTTTCTTTTGATTGAGCAGTTTGGGAAGTCTTTCTGTAGAATCTGCAAATGGATATTTGGAGATATTTGAGGCCCTTGGTGAAAAAGGAAGTATCTTCACATAAAAACTAGACAGAATCATTCCGAGAAATTTTTTGTGATGTGTCCATTCACGTCACAGAGTTGAACCTTTATTTTGATTGAGCAGTTTGAAAACAGTCTTTTTGTAGAACCTGCAAAGGGATATTTGTGAGCCCCTTATGGCCTGTGGTGAAATACGAAATATCTTCACATAAAAACTAGACAGGAGCTTTCTCAGAAACTCCCTTGTGATGTGTGCATTCACCTCACAGACTTGAAACTGTCTTTTGATTGAGCAGATTGGAAAGAGGCTTATTGTACAATCTGCAAAGGGAGAATTCTGATCCGTTTGAGGCTTCTGGTGAAAGAGAAACATCTTCCCATAAAAACTAGACGGAAGCTTTCTAAGAAACTTCGGTGTGATGTGTGTTTTCATCTCAGGGAATTGAAACTTTCTTTTCATTGAGGAGTTTGGAAACACTCTTTTTCTAGAATCTGCAAATGGATATTTGGAGAGATTCTGAGGCCCATGTTGAAAAACGAAACATCTTCACGTAAAAACTAAACAGAAGCATTCTGAGGAACTTCTTTGTGATGGGTGCATTCATCTCACATAGTTGAAACTTTCTTTGGATTGAGCAGTTTTGAAACAGTCCTTTTGTAGAATCTGCCAAGGGATATTTCTGAGCCGATTGAGTACTATGCTGCAATGTGAAGTATCTTCACATAAAAACTAGACAGAAGTTTTCTGAGAAACTACTTTTCGATGTGTCCGTTAATCTAACAGAGTTAAAACTTTCTTTTTATTGAGCAGTTTGGACACAGTCTTTTTGTAGAATCTGCAAAAAATATTTGTGAGCCCTTTATTGCCTATGGTGAAATAGGAATCTTCTTCACATATAAACTAGACAGAAGCTTTCTGAGAAACTTCTTGGAGATGTGTGCTTTCACCTCACAGAGTTAAACACTTTCTTTTGATTGAGCTGTTTGGAAACACTCTTTTTGTGAAATCTGTAAATGGATATTAGGAGTGCTTTGAGGCCAATGGTGACAAAGGAAATATCTTCACATAAAAACTAAACAGAAGAATTCTGAGAAACTTCATTCTGACGTGGGCATTAACCTCAGAGAATTTAACCTTTCTTTGGATTGAGAAGTATGGAAACGGTCGTCTTTTAGAATCGGGAAAGGGATATTTCTTAGCCCTTTGAGGCCTACGGTGAAACTGGAAATATCTTCACATGAAAAGTAGACCGAAGCATTCCGAGGAACTTCTTTGTGATGTCTCCATTCATCTGACAGAGTTGAAGGTTTCTTTTAATTCAGCACTGTGGAAACCGTATTTTTGCAGAATCTGCAAAGGGATATTTTTGAGACCTTTGAAGCCTACAGTGAAATAGTAAATATCTTCACATAGAAACTAGACAGGAGCTTTCTGAGAAACTTCTTTGTGATGTGTGCATTCATCTCACAGTGTTGAAACTTTATTTTATTTGAGCAGCTTAGAGACAGTCTTTTTCTGCAATCTGCAAAGGCATATTTCTGAGCCATTTGAGGTCTGTGGTGAAAGAGAAATATCTTCACATTTAAACTAGACAGAAGAATTCTGAGAAACTTCTTTATGACGTGTGCATTCATCTCAGGTAGGTGAAATTTTCTTTTGATGGAGCAGTTTGGAAACAGTCTTTTTCTAGTATCTGCAGAAGGATATTTGTGAGCGGTGTAAGGACTATGCTGAAAAAGCAAATATCTTCACATAAAAACTAGACAGAAGATTTCTGAGAAACTTTTTTGTGATGGGTGCTTTCATCTCACAGAGTTGAAAGTTTCTTTTGATTGAGCAGTTTGGAAACAGTCTTTTCGTATCATCTGCAAAGGGATGTTTGGAGCGCTTTGTGGCCTAAGGTGAAAATGGAAATATCTTCACATAAAATCTAGACAGAAGCATTCTGAGAAACTTTCTTTGTGATGTGTTCATTCATCTCACAATGTTGAACGTTTCTTTTGATTGAGAGGTTTGTAAACAGAACTTTTGTAGAATCTGCAAAGGGATATTTGTGAGCCCCTTGATTCCTATGGCAAAATAGGAATTATCTTGAGATAAAAACTAGACAGAAGAATTCTGAGAAACTTCTCTTTGATGAGTGCATTCATTTCACATAGTTGAAAAATGCTATATGGGCCAGTTTGGAAACAGTCTTTTTGTAGTGTCTGCAGACAGATATTTTTGAGTGGCTTAAAGACTGTGGTGAAAAAAGAAATATCTTCACAGAGTAACCAGACAGAGGCTTTCCGAGAAACTTCTTTGTGATGTGTGCTTTCGTCTCACAGAGTTGCGCCTTTCTGTTGATTGACCAGTTTGGGAACATTCTTTTTGTAGAATCTGCAAATGGATATTTGGAGCAATTTGTGGCCTATGGTGAAAAAGGAAATATCTTCACATAAAAACTAGACAGGAGCATTTTGAGAAACTTCTTTTTGATGTGTGTATTCATCTCACAGAGTTGAACCTTTCTTTTCATTTAGCAATTTGGAGAAAGTCTCTTGGTAGTATAAGTGGAGTTATATTTGCGAGCGGTTTAAGGCCTATGGTGCCAAAGGAAATACCTTGACATAAAATGCAGACAGAAGCTGTTTGAGAAAACTCTTTGTGACATTTCCATTCATCTCTAATAGTTGGCCATTTCCTTTCATTGAGCAGTTTGGAAGCAGTCTTTTTCTACAAACTGCAAAGGGATATTTCTGAGCGGTTTGGGGCCAACGGTGAAAAATAAATATCTTCCCATGAAAACTAGACAGAAGCTTTCTGACAAATTTCTTAGTGATGTGCACGTTTGTCACACGGAATTGAACCCTTCTTCTGATTGAGCAGTTTGGAATCAGTCTTTTTGTAGAATCTGTGAATGTGTATTTAGAGAGTTTTAAGGCCTAGGGTGCAAGAGGCAATGTCTTCACATAAAAACGACACAGTAGCTTTCTGAGAAACTTCTTTGTGATGTGTCCATTCATCGCACAGAGTGGAACCTTTCTTTTGATTGAGGAGTTTGTAAAATGTCTTTTCTTAGAATCTGCAAAGGGATATTTGTGAGCCCTTTATGGCCTTTGTTGAAATATGAAATATCTTCACATAAAAAGTAGACAGAAGATTTCTGAGAAACTTCTTTGTGATGTGTGAATTCATGTCACAGAATTCAACCTTTCTTTTGATTCAGCAGTTGGAGACAGTCTTTTGTAGAAGCTGCAAAGGGAAATTTCTTAGACCTTTGAGGCCTATGGTGAAAAAGAAATATCTTCACATAAAAACTAGACAGAAGATTTCTGAGAAACTTCTTTGTGATGTGTGCCTTCATCTCACTGTGTTGAACCTTTCTTTTGATTGAGCAGTTTGGGAAGTCTTTCTGTAGAATCTGCAAATGGATATTTGGAGATATTTGAGGTCCTTGGTGAAAAAGGAAGTATCTTCACATAAAAACTAGACAGAATCATTCCGAGAAATTTTTTGTGATGTGTCCATTCACGTCACAGAGTTGAACCTTTCTTTTGATTGAGCAGTTTGGAAACTGTCTTTTTGTAGAACCTGCAAAGGGATATTTGTGAGCCCCTTATGGCCTGTGGTGAAATACGAAGTATCTTCACACAAAAACTAGACAGGAGCTTTCTGAGAAACTTCCTTGTGATGTGTGCATTCACCTCACAGAGTTGAACCTTTCTTTTGATTGAGCAGGTTGGAAAGAGGCTTATTGTACAATCCGCAAAGGGATAATTCTGATCCATTTGAGGCCTATGGTGAAAGAGAAATATCTTCACATAAAAACTAGACAGAAGCTTTCTAAGAAACTTCGGTGTGATGTGTGCTTTCATCTCACAGAATTGAAACTTTCTTTTGATTGAGGAGTTTGGAAACACTCTTTTTCTATAATCTGCAAATGGATATTTGGAGAGATTTTGAGGCCCATGTGGAAAAACGAAACATCTTCGCGTAAAAACTAAACAGAAACATTCTGAGGAACTTCTTTGTGATGTGTGCATTCATCTCACATAGTTGAAACTTTCTTTGGATTGAGCAGTTTTGAAACAGTCCTTTTGTAGAATCTGCCAAGGGATACTTCTGAGCCCATTGAGTACTATGATGCACTGTGAAGTATCTTCACATAAAAACTAGACAGAAGTTTTCTGAGAAACTCCTTTTCGATGTGTCCGTTAATCTAACAGAGTTAAAACTTTCTTTTTATTGAGCAGTTTGGATACAGTCTTTTTGTAGAATCTGCAAAACATATTTGCGAGCCCTTTATTGCCTATGGTGAAATAGGAATCTTCTTCACATATAAACTAGACAGAAGCTTTCTGAGAAACTTCATTGAGATGTGTGCTTTCACCTCACAGAGTTAAACACTTTCTTTTGATTGAGCTGTTTGGAAACACTCTTTTTGTGAAATCTGTAAATAGTTATTAAGACTGATATGAGGCCAATGGTGGCAAAGGAAATATCTTTACATAAAAACTAAACAGAAGAATTCTGAGAAACTTCATTCTGACGTGGGCATTAACCTCAGAGAATTTAACCTTTCTTTGGATTCAGAAGTATGGAAACGGTCGTCTTTTAGAATCTGGAAAGGGATATTTCTTAGCCCTTTGAGGCCTACGGTGAAACTGGAAATATCTTCACATGAAAAGTAGACCGAAGCATTCCGAGGAACTTCTTTGTGATGTCTCCATTCATCTGACAGAGTTGAAGGTTTCTTTTAATTCAGCACTGTGGAAACCATATTTTTGTAGAATCTGCAAAGGGATATTTTTGAGACCTTTGAAGCCTATAGTGAAATAGTAAATATCTTCACATAGAAACTAGACAGGAGCTTTCTGAGAAACTTCTTTGTGATGTGTGCATTCATCTCACAGTGTTGAAACTTTATTTTATTTGAGCAGTTTAGAGACAGTCTCTTTCTGCAATCTGCAAAGGTATATTTCTGAGCCATTTGAGGTCTGTGGTGAAAAAGGATTATCTTCACATTTAAACTAGACAGAAGAATTCTGAGAAACTTCTTTGTGATGTGTGCATTCATCTCAGGTAGGTGAAATTTTCTTTTGATGGAGCAGTTTGGAAACAGTCTTTTTCTAGTATCTGCAGAAGGATATTTGTGAGCGGTGTAAGGACTACGCTGAAAAAGGAAATATCTACACATAAAAACTAGAGAGAAGATTTCTGAGAAACTTTTTTGTGATGGGTGCTTTCATCTCACAGAGTTGAAAATTTCTTTTGATTGAGCAGTTTGGAAACAGTCTTTTCGTATCATCTGCAAAGGGATGTTTGGAGCGCTTTGTGGCCTAAGGTGAAAATGGAAATATCTTCACATAAAATCTAGACAGAAGCATTCTGAGAAACTTCTTTGTGATGTGTTCATTCATCTCACAATGTTGAACGTTTCTTTTGATTGAGAGGTTTGTAAACAGAACTTTTGTAGAATCTGCAAAGGGATATTTGTGAGCCCCTTGATTCCTATGGCAAAATAGGAATTATCTTGTCATAAAAACTAGACAGGAGAATTCTGAGAAACTTCTTTGTGATGAGTGCATTCAACTCACATAGTTGAAACATTCTATATGGACCAGTTTGGAAACAGTCTTTTTGTAGTACCTGCAGAGGGATATTTTTGAGTGGTTTAAAGACTATGGTGAAAAAGGAAATATCTTCACATAATAACCAGACAGAAGCTTTCTGAGAAACTTCTTTGTGATGTGTGCTTTCGTCTCACAGAGTTGAGCCTTTCTTTTGATTGACCAGTTTGGAAACATTCTTTCTGTAGAATCCGCAAATGGATATTTGGAGCAATTTGCGGCCTACGGTGAAGAAGGAAATATCTTCACATAAAAACTAGACAGAAGCATTTTGAGAAACTTCTTTTTGATGTGTGTATTCATCTCCCAGAGTTGAACGTTTCTTTTGATTTAGCAATTTGGAGAAAGTCTCTTGGTAGTATAAGCGGAGTTATGTTTGTGAGTGGTTTAAGGCCTACGGTGCCAAAGGAAATACCTTCACATAAAATGCAGACAGAAGCTTTTTGAGAAAACTCTTTGTGACATGTCCATTCATCTCTAATAGTTGACCATTTCTTCTCATTGAGCAGTTTGGAAACAGTCTTTTCCTACAAACTGCAAAGGGACATTTCTGAGCCGTTTGGGGCCAATGGTGAAAAATAAATATCTTCACATGAAAACTAGACAAAAGCTTTCTGACAAATTGCTTTGTGATGTGCAAGTTTGTCACACGGAATTGAACTTTTCTTCTGATTGAGCAGTTTGGAATCAGTCTTTTTGTAGAATCTGTGAATGTATATTTAGAGAGTTTTAAGGCCTAGAGTGAAAAAGGAAACGTCTTCACATAAAAACGACACAGTAGCTTTCTGAGAAACTTCTTTGTGATGTGTCCATTCATCGCACAGAGTGAAACCTTTCTTTTGATTGAGGAGTTTGGAAAATGTCTTTTCTTAGAATCTGCAAAGGGATATTTGTGAGCCCTTTATGGCCTTTGTTGAAATATGAAATGTCTTCACGTAAAAAGTAGACAGAAGATTTCTGAAAAACCTCTTTGTGATGTGTGAATTCATGTCACAGAATTCAACCTTCCTTTCAGTTGAGCAGTTTGGAACCAGTCTTTTGTAGAAGCTGCAGAGGGAAATTTCTTAGCTGCTTGAGGCCTATGGTGAACAAGAAATAGCCTCACATGTAAAGTAGACAGA
>NC_000014.9:16346617-16367287 GCF_000001405.40 Homo sapiens
TGCATTCTCAGAAAGTTCTTTGTGATGTGTGCATTCAAATCACAGATTTGAACATACCTTGTCATAGAGCAGTTTTGAAACACTCGTTTCGTAGAATCTGCAACTGGGTATTTGGACTTCTTTGAGGCCTTCGTCGGAAACGGGAATATCTTCACATAAGAACTAGACAGAAGAATTCTGGGGAATTTCTTTGTGATGTGTGCATTCAACTCACAGAGTTGAACCTTTCTGTTGATAGAGCAGTTTGGAAACACTCTTTTCGCAAAATCTGCAGAGTGGATATTTGTACTGCTTAGAGGCCTTCGTTGGAAACGGGAATATCTCCACATAAAAACTAGACAGAAGCATTCTCAGAAACTTCTTTGTGATCTGCACATTCAACACAAAGAGTAGAATCTTCCTTTTGATAGAGCAGTTTTTAAACACTCTTTTTGTAGAATCTGCAAGTGGACATTTGGAAAGCTTTGAGGCCTGTGGTGGAAAAGGAAATACCTTCACATAAAAACCAGACGGAAGCATTCTCAGAAACTTCTTTGTATTGTTTGCATTCAACCCACTGAGTTGAACACACCTTTTCACAGAGCAGTTTTGAAACACTCTTTTTGTAGAATCTGCAAGTGGATATATGGAGTGCTTTGAGGCCTTCTTTGTAAACGGGAATATCTTCACATAAAAACTAGAGAGAAGCATTCTCAGAGCCTTCTTTGTGATGTGTGCATTCAACTCACAGAGCTGAACCTTTCTTTTGATAGAGGTGTTTGAAGCACTGTTTTTTTAGAATCTGCAAGTGGATATATTGAGTGCTTTGAGGCCTTCTTTGTAAACGGGAATATCTTCACATAAAAACTAGAGAGAAGCATTCTCAGAGCCTTCTTTGTGATGTGTGCATTCAACTCACAGAGCTGAACCTTTCTTTTCATAGAGCTGTTTGGAAGCACTGTTTTTTTAGAATCCGCATGTGGAAATTTTCAGAGCTTCGAGGCCTGTGGTGGAGAAGGAAATATCTTCACATAAAAACTAGACAGAAGCATTCTCAGAAACTTGTTTGTGACGTTTGCATTCAACTCACAGAGTTGAACATACCTTTTCATAGAGCAGTTTTGAAACACTCTTTTCGTAGGATCTGCAAGTGGATATTTGGACTGCTTTGAGGCCTTCGTTGGAAAGAGGAATATCTTCACATAAAAACTAGACGGAAGCATTCTCAGAAACTTCTTTGTGATGTGTGAATTCAACTCACAGAGTTGAAGCTTCCTATTGATAGAGCAGTTTTGAAAAACCGTTTTTGTAGAATCTGCCAGTGGATATTTGGAGAGCTTTGAGGCCTACGGTGGAAAAGGAAATATCTTCACATAAAAACCAGACACAAAGATTCTCAGAAACTTCTTTGTGACGCTTGCACTCAACTCACAGAGTTGAACACACCTTTTCATAGAGCAGTTTTGAAGCACTCTTTTCGTAGAATCTGCAAGTGTATATTTGGAATGCTTTGAGGCCTTCATTGTAAACGAGAATATCTTCACATAAAAACGAGACAGAAGAATTCTCAGCAACTACTTTGTGATGATTGCATTCAACTCACTGTGTTAATCTTTATTTTGATAGGGCAGTTTTGAAACACTGTTTTTGTAGCATCTGCAAGTGGTCATTTGGAGAGCTTTGAGGCCTATGGTGGAAAAGGAAATATCTTCACATAAAAACAGGACAGAAGCATTTTCAGAATCTCCGCTGTGATGTTTGCATTGAACTCACAGAGTTGAACGTCCCTTTTCATAGAGCAGTTTTGAAACACTCTTCGTAGAATCTGCCAGTGGATATTTGGACTGATTTGAGGCCTTTGTTGGACACGGGAATATCTTCATATAAAAACTAGAAAGAAGAATTCTCAGAAACTTCTTTGTGATGTGTGCATTCAACTCAGAGAGTTGAACTTTTCTTTTGATAGAGCAGTTTTGAAACAGACTTTTTGCAGAATCTGCAAGTGGACATTTGGGAAGCTTTGAGGCCTATGGTGGAAAATGATATACCTTCACATAAAAACCAGACAGATGCATTTTCAGAAACTTCTTTGCGATGTTTGCATTCAACTCACAGTGTTAACCTTTATTTTCATAGAACAGTTTTGAAACACTGTTTTTGTAGCATCTGCAAGTGGTCATTTGGAGAGCTTTGAGGCCTATTGTGGAAAAGGAAATATCTCCACATAAAAACTGGACAGAAGCATTCTCAGAATCTCCTCTGTGATGTTTGCATTCAACTCACAGAGTTGAACATACCTTTTCATAGAGCAGTTTTGAAACACTCTTTTCGTAGAATCCACAAGTGGTTATTTGGACTGATTTGAGGCCTTTGTTGGAAACGGGAATACCTTCACATAAAATCTAGAAAGAAGAATTCTCAGAAACTTCTTTGTGATATGTGCATTCAACTCAGAGAGTTGAACTTTTCTTTTCATAGAGCAGTTTTGAAACAGACTTTTTGTAGAATCTGCAAGTGGACATTTGGGAAGCTTTGAGGCCTATGGTGGAAAATGATATACCTTCACATAAAAAGAAGACAGAAGCATTTTCAGAAACTTCTTTGTGATGTTTGCATTCAACTCACAGAGATGAAATACCTTTTCATAGCGCAGTTTTGAAAAAATCTTTTCGTAGTATCTGCAAGGGGATATTTGGACTGCTTTGAGGCCTTCAGTGGAAACAGAAATATCTTAACATAAAAATTAGACAGAAGCATTCTCAGAAACTTCTTTGTGATGAGGCCATTCAACTCACAGAGCTGAACCACTCTTTTGAAGGAGCAGTTTGAAACATTCTTTTTGTAGAATCTGCAAGTGGACATTTGGAGAGCTTTGAGGCCTACAGTGGAAAAAGAAATATCTTCACATAAAAACTGGACAGAAGCATTCTCAAAAACATCTTTGTGATATTTGCATTCAACTCACAGATTTGAAAATAACTTTTCGTAGAGCAGTTTTGAAACACTCTTTTTGTAGAATCTGCAAGAGGATATTTGGACTGCTTTAAGGACCTCGTTGGAAACGGGAATATCTTCACATAAAAACTAGACAGAAGCATTCTCAGAAACACCTTTGTGATGTGGGCATTCAACTCAGAGAGTTGAACCTTTCTTTTGATAGAGCAGTTTTGAAACACTGTTTTTATAGAATCTGCAAGTGGACATTTGGAGACTTTTGAAGCATATGGTGGAAATGGAAATACCTTCCCATGAAAACTAGACAGAAACATTCTCAGTACCTACTTTGTTATGTTTGCATTCAACTCACAGAGATGGACATACCTTTTCATAGAGCAGTTTTGGAAAACTCTTTTGGTAGAATATGCAAATGGATAATTGGAACGCTTTCAGGCCTTCGTTGGAAATGTGAATATCTTCAAATAAAAACTAGACAAAAGCATTCTCAGAAACTTCTTTGTGATGTGGGCATTCAACTCACAGGCTTGAACCTTTCCTTTCATAGAGCAGTCTTGAAACACTCTTTTTGAAGAATCAGCAAGTGGACATTTGGAGAGCTTTGAGGCCTATGGTGAGAAAGAAAATATCTTCACATAAAAACCAGACAGAAGCATTCTGAGAAACTTCTTTGTGCTGTTTGCATTCAACTCACAAAGTTGAAAATACCTTTTCATAGAGGAGTTTTGAAACACTCTTTTCGTACAATCTGCAAGTGGATATTTGGACTGCTTTTAGGTTTTCTTTGGAAACAGGAATATCTTTACATAAAAACTAGACAGATGCATTCTCAGAAAGTTGTTGGTGATGTGTGCATTCAACTCACAGATATGAACATACCTTGTCATAGAGCAGTTTTGAAACACTCGTTTCGTAGAATCTGCAAGTGGATATTTGGACTGCTTTGAGGCCTTCGTCGGAAACGGGAATATCTTCACATAAGAACTAGACAGAAGAATTCTGGGAAATTTCTTTGTGATGTGTGCATTCAACTCACAGAGTTGAACCTTTCTGTTGATAGAGCAGTTTGGAAACACTCTTTTCGCAAAATCTGCAAAGTGGATATTTGTACTGCTTAGAGGCCTTCGTTGGAAACGGGAATATCTCCACATAAAAACTAGACAGAAGCATTCTCAGAAACTTCTTTGTGATCTGCACATTCAACACAAAGAGTTGAGTCTTCCTTTTGATAGAGCAGTTTTTAAACACTCTTTTTGTAGAATCTGCAAGTGGACATTTGGAAAGCTTTGAGGCCTGTGGTGGAAAAGGAAATACCTTCACATAAAAACCAGATGGAAGCATTCTCAGAAACTTCTTTGTATTGTTTGCATTCAACCCACAGAGTTGAACATACCTTTTCACAGAGCAGTTTTGAAACACTCTTTTTGTAGAATCTGCAAGTGGATATACGGAGTGGTTTGAGGCCTTCTTTGTAAACGGGAATATCTTCACATAAAAACTAGAGAGAAGCATTCTCAGAGCCTTCTTTGTGATGTGTGCATTCAACTCACAGAGCTGAACCTTTCTTTTGATAGAGCTGTTTTGAAGCACTGTTTTTTTAGAATCTGCAGGTGGATATATGGAGTGCTTTGAGGCCTTCTTTGTAAACGGGAATATCTTCACATAAAAACTAGAGAGAAGCATTCTCAGAGCCTTCTTTGTGATGTGTGCATTCAACTCACAGAGCTGAACCTTTCTTTTGATAGAGCTGTTTTGAAGCACTGTTTTTATAGAATCTGCATGTGGAAATTTTCAGAGCTTCGAGGCCTGTGGTGGAGAAGGAAATATCTTCACATAAAAACTAGACAGAAGCATTCTCAGAAACTTGTTTGTGACGTTTGCATTCAACTCACAGAGTTGAACATACCTTTTCATAGAGCAATTTTGAAACACTCTTTTCGTAGGATCTGCAAATGGATATTTGGACTGCTTTGAGGCCTTCGTTGGAAAGAGGAATATCTTCACATAAAAACTAGACGGAAGCATTCTCAGAAACTTCTTTGTGATGTGTGAATTCAACTCACAGAGTTGAAGCTTTCTATTGATAGAGCAGTTTTGAAAAACCGTTTTTTGTAGAATCTGCCAGTGGACATTTGGAGAGCTTGGAGGCCTACGGTGGAAAAGGAAATATCTTCACATAAAAACCAGACACAAAGATTCTCAGAAACTTCTTTGTGACGCTTGCACTCAACTCACAGAGTTGAACACACCTTTTCATAGAGCAGTTTTGAAGCAGTCTTTTCGTAGAATCTGCAAGTGTATATTTGGAATGCTTTGAGGCCTTCATTGTAAACGAGAATATCTTCACATAAAAACGAGACAGAAGCATTCTCAGCAACTACTTTGTGATGATTGCATTCAACTCACTGTGTTAACCTTTATTTTGATAGGGCAGTTTTGAAACACTGTTTTTGTAGCATCTGCAAGTGGTCATTTGGAGAGCTTTGAGGCCTATGGTGGAAAAGGAAATATCTTCACATAAAAACAGGACAGAAGCATTTTCAGAATCTCCGCTCTGATGTTTGCATGGAACTCACACAGTTGAACGTCCCTTTTCATAGAGCAGTTTTGAAACACTCTTCGTAGAATCTGCCAGTGGATATTTGGACTGATTTGAGGCCTTTGTTGGACACGGGAGTATCTTCATATAAAAACTAGAAAGAAGAATTCTCAGAAACTTCTTTGTGATGTGTGCATTCAACTCAGAGAGTTGAACTTTTCTTTTGATAGAGCAGTTTTGAAACAGACTTTTTGCAGAATCTGCAAGTGGACATTTGGGAAGCTTTGAGGCCTATGGTGGAAAATGATATACCTTCACATAGAAACCAGACAGAAGCATTTTCAGAAACTTCTTTGCGATGTTTGCATTCAACTCACAGTGTTAACCTTTATTTTCATAGAACATTTTTGAAACACTCTTTTTGTAGCATCTGCAAGTGGTCATTTGGAGAGCTTTGAGGCCTATGGTGGAAAAGGAAATATCTCCACATAAAAACTGGACAGAAGCATTCTCAGAATCTCCTCTGTGATGTTTGCATTCAACTCACAGAGTTGAACATACCTTTTCATAGAGCAGTTTTGATACACTCCTTTCGTAGAATCCACAAGTGGATATTTGGACTGATTTGAGGCCTTTGTTGGAAACGGGAATACCTTCACATAAAATCTAGAAAGAAGAATTCTCAGAAACTTCTTTGTGATATGTGCATTCAACTCAGAGAGTTGAACTTTTGTTTTGATAGAGCAGTTTTGAAACAGACATTTGTAGAATCTGCAAGTGGACATTTGGGAAGCTTTGAGGCCTATGGTGGAAAATGATATACCTTCACATAAAAAGAAGACAGAAGCATTTTCAGAAACTTCTTTGTGATGTTTGCATTCAACTCACAGAGATGAAATACCTTTTCATAGCGCAGTTTTGAAAAACTCTTTTCGTAGTATCTGCAAGGGGATATTTGGACTGCTTTGAGGCCTTCAGTGGAAACAGAAATATCTTAACATAAAAATTAGACAGAAGCATTCTCACAAACTTCTTTGTGATGAGGCCATTCAACTCAAAGAGCTGAACCACTCTTTTGAAGGAGCAGTTTGAAACATTGTTTTTGTAGAATCTGCAAGTGCAAAGCCAAGAGAGCTTTGAGGCCTACAGTGGAAAAGGAAATATCTTCACATAAAAACTGGACAGAAGCATTCTCAAAAACATCTTTGTGATATTTGCATTCAACTCACAGAGTTGAAAATAACTTTTCGTAGAGCAGTTTTGAAACACTCTTTTTGTAGAATCTGCAAGAGGATATTTGGACTGCTTTAAGGACCTCGTTGGAAACGGGAATATCTTCACATAAAAAGTAGACAGAAGCATTCTCAGAAACACCTTTTTTGATGTGGGCATTCAACTCAGAGATTTGAACCTTTCTTTTGATAGAGCAGTTTTGAAGCACTTACTTTGTACAATCTGCAAGTGGACATTTGGAGAGCTTTGAGGCCTACGGTGGAAAAGGAAATAGCCTCACATAAAAACTAGATAGAAACATTCTCATTACCTACTTTGTTATGTTTGCATTCAACTCACAGAGATGGACATACCTTTTCATAGAGCAGTTTTGGAAAACTCTTTCGGTGGAATATGCAAATGGATAATTGGAACGCTTTCAGGCCTTCGTTGGAAATGTGAATATCTTCAAATAAAAACTAGACAAAAGCATTCTCAGAAACTTCTTTGTGATGTGGGCATTCAACTCACAGACTTGAACCTTTCTTTTCATAGAGCAGTCTTGAAACACTCTTTTTGAAGAATCGGCAAGTGGACATTTGGAGAGCTTTGAGGCCTATGGTGAGAAAGAAAATATCTTCACATAAAAACCAGACAGAAGCATTCTGAGAAACTTTTTTGTGCTGTTTGCATTCAACTCACAAAGTTGAAAATACCTTTTCATAGAGGAGTTTTGAAACACTCTTTTCGTAGAATCTGCAAGTGGATATTTGGACTGCTTTTAGGTTTTCTTTGGAAACAGGAATATCTTTACATAAAAACTAGACAGATGCATTCTCAGAAAGTTCTTTGTGATGTGTGCATTCAACTCACAGATTTGAACATACCTTGTCATAGAGCAGTTTTGAAACACTCGTTTCGTAGAATCTGCAAGTGGATATTTGGACTGCTTTGAGGCCTTCGTCGGAAACGGGAATATCTTCACATAAGAACTAGACAGAAGAATTCTGGGAAATTTCTTTGTGATGTGTGCATCCAACTCACAGAGTTGAACCTTTCTGTTGATAGAGCAGTTTGGAAACACTCTTTTGGCAAAATCTGCAGAGTGGATATTTGTACTGCTTAGAGGCCTTCGTTGGAAACGGGAATGTCTCCACATAAAAACTAGACAGAAGCATTCTCAGAAACTTCTTTGTGATCTGCACATTCAACACAAAGAGTTGAATCTTCCTTTTGAGAGAGCAGTTTTTAAACACTCTTTTTGTAGAATCTGCAAGTGGACATTTGGAAAGCTTTGAGGCCTGTGGTGGAAAAGGAAATACCTTCACATAAAAACCAGATGGAAGCATTCTCAGAAACTTCTTTGTATTGTTTGCATTCAACCCACAGAGTTGAACATACCTTTTCACAGAGCAGTTTTGAAACACTCCTTTTGTAGAATCTGTAAGTTGATATATGGAGTGCTTTGAGGCCTTCTTTGTAAACGGGAATATCTTCACATAAAAACTAGAGAGAAGCATTCTCAGAGCCTTCTTTGTGATGTGTGCATTCAACTCACAGAGCTGAACCTTTCTTTTGATAGAGCTGTTTTGAAGCACTGTTTTTTTAGAATCTGCAAGTGGATATATTGAGTGCTTTGAGGCCTTCTTTGTAAACGGGAATATCTTCACATAAAAACTAGAGAGAAGCATTCTCAGAGCCTTCTTTGTGATGTGTGCATTCAGCTCACGGAGCTGAACCTTTCTTTTGATAGAGCTGTTTTGAAGCACTGTTTTTTTAGAATCTGCATGTGGAAATTTTCAGAGCTTCGAGGCCTGTGGTGGAGAAGGAAATATCTTCACATAAAAACTAGACAGAAGCATTCTCAGAAACTTGTTTGTGACGTTTGCATTCAACTCACAGAGTTGAACATACCTTTTCATAGAGCAGTTTTGAAACACTCTTTTCGTAGGATCTGCAAATGGATATTTGGACTGCTTTGAGGCCTTCGTTGGAAAGAGGAATATCTTCACATAAAAACTAGAAGGAAGCATTCTCAGAAACTTCTTTGTGATGTGTGAATTCAACTCACAGAGTTGAAGCTTTCTATTGATAGAGCAGTTTTGAAAAACCGTTTTTGTAGAATCTGCCAGTGGATATTTGGAGAGCTTTGAGGCCTACGGTGGAAAAGGAAATATCTTCACATAAAAACCAGACACAAAGATTCTCAGAAACTTCTTTGTGACGTTTGCATTCAACTCACAGAGTTGAACACACCTTTTCATAGAGCAGTTTTGAAGCAGTCTTTTCGTAGAATCTGCAAGTGTATATTTGGAATGCTTTGAGGCCTTCATTGTAAACGAGAATATCTTCACATAAAAACGAGACAGAAGCATTCTCAGCAACTACTTTGTGATGATTGCATTCAACTCACTGTGTTAACCTTTATTTTGATAGGGCAGTTTGGAAACACTGTTTTTGTAGCATCTGCAAGTGGTCATTTGGAGAGCTTTGAGGCCTATGGTGGAAAAGGAAATATCTTCACATAAAAACAGGACAGAAGCATTTTCAGAATCTCCGCTGTGATGTTTGCATTCAACTCACAGAGTTGAACGTCCCTTTTCATAGGGCAGTTTTGAAACACTCTTCGTAGAATCTGCCAGTGGATATTTGGACTGATTGGAGGCCTTTGTTGGACACGGGAATATCTTCATATAAAAACTAGAAAGAAGAATTCTCAGAAACTTCTTTGTGATGTGTGCATTCAACTCAGCAGCAGTTGAACTTTTCTTTTGATAGAGCAGTTTTGAAACAGACTTTTTGCGGAATCTGCAAGTGGACATTTGGGAAGCTTTGAAGCCTATGGTGGAAAATGATATACCTTCACATAAAAACCAGACAGATGCATTTTCAGAAACTTCTTTGCGATGTTTGCATTCAACTCATAGTGTTAACCTTTATTTTCATAGAACAGTTTTGAAACACTGTTTTTGTAGCATCTGCAAGTGGTCATTTGGAGAGCTTTGAGGCCTATGGTGGAAAAGGAAATATCTCCACATAAAAACTGGACAGAAGCATTCTCAGAATCTCCTCTGTGATGTTTGCATTCAACTCACAGAGTTGAACATACCTTTTCATAGAGCAGTTTTGAAACACTCTTTTCGTAGAATCCACAAGTGGATATTTGGACTGATTTGAGGCCTTTGTTGGAAACGGGAATACCTTCACATAAAATCTAGAAAGAAGAATTCTCAGAAACTTCTTTGTGATGTGTGCATTCAACTCAGAGAGTTGAACTTTTCTTTTGATAGAGCAGTTTTGAAACAGACTTTTTGCAGAATCTGCAAGTGGACATTTGGGAAGCTTTGAGGCCTATGGTGGAAAATGATATACCTTCACATAAAAAGAAGACAGAAGCATTTTCAGAAACTTCTTTGTGATGTTTGCATTCAAGTCACAGAGATGAAATACCTTTTCATAGCGCAGTTTTGAAAACCTCTTTTCGTAGTATCTGCAAGGGGATATTTGGACTGCTTTGAGGCCTTCAGTGGAAACAGAAATATCTTAACATAAAAATTAGACAGAAGCATTCTCAGAAACTTCTTTGTGATGAGGCCATTCAACTCACAGAGCTGAACCAGTCTTTTGAAGGAGCAGTTTGAAACATTCTTTTTGTAGAATCTGCAAGTGCAAAGCCAAGAGAGCTTTGAGGCCTACAGTGGAGAAGGAAATATCTTCACATAAAAACTGGACAGAAGCATTCTCAAAAACATCTTTGTGATATTTGCATTCAACTCACAGAGTTGAAAATAACTTTTCATAGAGCAGTTTTGAAACACTCTTTTTGTAGAATCTGCAAGAGGATATTTGGACTGCTTTAAGGACCTCGTTGGAAACGGGAATATCTTCACATAAAAACTAGACAGAAGCATTCTCAGAAACACCTTTGTGATGTGGGCATTCAACTCAGAGAGTTGAACCTTTCTTTTGATAGAGCTGTTTTGAAACACTGTTTTTATAGAATCTGCAAGTGGACATTTGGAGACTTTTGAAGCATATGGTGGAAATGGAAATACCTTCCCATGAAAACTAGACAGAAACATTCTCAGTACCTACTTTGTTATGTTTGCATTCAACTCACAGAGATGGACATACCTTTTCATAGAGCAGTTTTGGAAAACTCTTTTGGTGGAATATGCAAATGGATAATTGGAACGCTTTCAGGCCTTCGTTGGAAATGTGAATATCTTCAAATAAAAACTAGACAAAAGCATTCTCAGAAACTTCTTTGTGATGTGGGCATTCAACTCACAGACTTGAACCTTTCTTTTCATAGAGCAGTCTTGAAACACTCTTTTTGAAGAATCGGCAAGTGGACATTTGGAGAGCTTTGAGGCCTATGGTGAGAAAGAAAATATCTTCACATAAAAGCCAGACAGAAGCATTCTGAGAAACTTCTTTGTGCTGTTTGCATTCAACTCACAAAGTTGAAAATACCTTTTCATAGAGGAGTTTTGAAACACTCTTTTCATAGAATCTGCAAGTGGATATTTGGACTGCTTTTAGGTTTTCTTTGGAAACAGGAATATCTTTACATAAACACTAGACAGATGCATTCTCAGAAAGTTCTTTGTGATGTGTGCATTCAACTCACAGATTTGAACATATCTTGTCATAGAGCAGTTTTGAAACACTCGTTTCGTAGAATCTGCAAGTGGATATTTGGACTGCTTTGAGGCCTTCGTCGGAAACGGGAATATCTTCACATAAGAACTAGACAGAAGAATTCTGGGAAATTTCTTTGTGATGTGTGCATGCAACTCACAGAGTTGAAACTTTCTGTTGATAGAGCAGTTTGGAAACACTCTTTTCGCAAAATCTGCAAAGTGGATATTTGTATTGCTTAGAGGCCTTCGTTGGAAACGGGAATATCTCCACATAAAAACTAGACAGAAGCATTCTCAGAAACTTCTTTGTATTGTTTGCATTCAACCCACAGAGTTGAACATACCTTTTCACAGAGCAGTTTTTAAACACTCTTTTTGTAGAATCTGCAAGTGGACATTTGGAAAGCTTTGAGGCCTGTGGTGGAAAAGGAAATACCTTCACATAAAAACCAGATGGAAGCATTCTCAGAAACTTCTTTGTATTGTTTGCATTCAACCCACAGAGTTGAACATACCTTTTCACAGAGCAGTTTTGAAACACTCTTTTTGTAGAATCTGCAAGTGGATATATGGAGTGCTTTGAGGCCTTCTTTGTAAACGGGAATATCTTCACATAAAAACTAGAGAGAAGCATTCTCAGAGCCTTCTTTGTGATGTGTGCATTCAACTCACAGAGCTGAACCTTTCTTTTGATAGAGCTGTTTTGAAGCACTGTTTTTTTAGAATCTGCAAGTGAATATATTGAGTGCTTTGAGGCCTTCTTTGTAAACGGGAATATCTTCACATAAAAACTAGAGAGAAGCATTCTCAGAGCCTTCTTTGTGATGTGTGCATTCAACTCACAGAGCTGAACCTTTCTTTTGATAGAGCTGTTTTGAAGCACTGTTTTTTTAGAATCTGCATGTGGAAATTTTCAGAGCTTCGAGGCCTGTGGTGGAGAAGGAAATATCTTCACATAGAAACTAGACAGAAGCATTCTCAGAAACTTGTTTGTGACGTTTGCATTCAACTCACAGAGTTGAACATACCTTTTCATAGAGCAGTTTTGAAACACTCTTTTCGTAGGATCTGCAAATGGATATTTGGACTGCTTTGAGGCCTTCGTTGGAAAGAGGAATATCTTCACATAAAAACTAGACGGAAGCATTCTCAGAAACTTGTTTGTGATGTGTGAATTCAACTCACAGAGTTGAAGCTTTCTATTGATAGAGCAGTTTTGAAAAACCGTTTTTGTAGAATCTGCCAGTGGACATTTGGAGAGCTTGGAGGCCTACGGTGGAAAAGGAAATATCTTCACATAAAAACCAGACACAAAGATTCTCAGAAACTTCTTTGTGACGTTTGCATTCAACTCACAGAGTTGAACACACCTTTTCATAGAGCAGTTTTGAAGCACTCTTTTCGTAGAATCTGCAAGTGTATATTTGGAATGCTTTGAGGCCTTCATTGTAAACGACAATATCTTCACATGAAAACGAGACAGAAGCATTCTCAGCAACTACTTTGTGATGATTGCATTCAACTCACTGTGTTAACCTTTATTTTGATAGGGCAGTTTGTAAACACTGTTTTGGTAGCATCTGCAAGTGTTCATTTGGAGAGCTTTGAGGCCTATGGTGGAAAATGATATACCTTCACATATAAACCAGACAGAAACATTTTCAGAATCTCCGCTGTGATGTTTGCATTGAACTCACAGAGTTGAACGTCCCCTTTCATAGAGCAGTTTTGAAACACTTTTCGTAGAATCTGCCAGTGGATATTTGGACTGATTGGAGGCCTTTGTTGGACACGGGAATATCTTCATATAAAAACTAGAAAGAAGAATTCTCAGAAACTTCTTTGTGATGTGTGCATTCAACTCAGAGAGTTGAACTTTTCTTTTGATAGAGCAGTTTTGCAACAGACTTTTTGCAGAATCTGCAAGTGGACATTTGGGAAGCTTTGAGGCCTATGGTGGAAAATGATATACCTTCACATAAAAACCAGACAGAAGCATTCTCAGCAACTAATTTGTGATGATTGCATTCAACTCACAGTGTTAACCTTTATTTTCATAGAACAGTTTTGAAACACTGTTTTTGTAGCATCTGCAAGTGGTCATTTGGAGAGCTTTGAGGCCTATGGTGGAAAAGGAAATATCTCCACATAAAAACTGGACAGAAGCATTCTCAGAATCTCCTCTGTGATGTTTGCATTCAACTCACTCAGTTGAACATACCTTTTCATAGAGCAGTTTTGAAACACTCTTTTCGTAGAATCCACAAGTGGATATTTGGACTGATTTGAGGCCTTTGTTGGAAACGGGAATACCTTCACATAAAATCTAGAAAGAAGAATTCTCAGAAACTTCTTTGTGATATGTGCATTCAACTCAGAGAGTTGAACTTTTCTTTCGATAGAGCAGTTTTGAAACAGACTTTTTGTAGAATCTGCAAGTGGACATTTGGGAAGCTTTGAGGCCTATGGTGGAAAATGATATACCTTCACATAAAAAGAAGACAGAAGCATTTTCAGAAACTTCTTTGTGATGTTTGCATTCAACTCACAGAGATGAAATACCTTTTCATAGCGCAGTTTTGAAAAACTCTTTCCGTAGTATCTGCAAGGGGATATTTGGACTGCTTTGAGGCCTTCAGTGGAAACAGAAATATCTTAACATAAAAATTAGACAGAAGCATTCTCAGAAACTTCTTTGTGATGAGGCCATTCAACTCACAGAGCTGAACCACTCTTTTGAAGGAGCAGTTTGAAACATTCTTTTTGTAGAATCTGCAAGTGCAAAGCCAAGAGAGCTTTGAGGCCTACAGTGGAAAAGGAAATATCTTCACATAAAAACTGAACAGAAGCATTCTCAAAAACATCTTTGTGATATTTGCATTCAACTCACAGAGTTGAAAATAACTTTTCGTAGAGCAGTTTTGAAACACTCTTTTTGTAGAATCTGCAAGAGGATATTTGGACTGCTTTAAGGACCTCGTTGGAAACGGGAATATCTTCACATAAAAACTAGAGAGAAGCATTCTCCGAAACACCTTTGTGATGGGGGCATTCAACACAGAGAGTTGAACCTTTCTTTTGATAGAGCAGTTTTGAAACACTGTTTTTATAGAATCTGCAAGTGGACATTTGGAGACTTTTGAAGCATATGGTGGAAATGGAAATACCTTCCCATGAAAACTAGACAGAAACATTCTCAGTACCTACTTTGTTATGTTTGCATTCAACTCACAGAGATGGACATACCTTTTCATAGAGCAGTTTTGGAAAACTCTTTTGGTAGAATATGCAAATGCATAATTGGAACGCTTTCAGGCCTTCGTTGGAAATGTGAATATCTTCAAATAAAAACTAGACAAAAGCATTCTCAGAAACTTCTTTGTGATGTGGGCATTCAACTCACAGACTTGAACCTTTCTTTTCATAGAGCAGTCTTGAAACACTCTTTTTGAAGAATCTGCAAATGGACATTTGGAGAGCTTTGAGGCCTATGGTGAGAAAGAAAATATCTCCACATAAAAACCAGACAGAAGCATTCTGAGAAACTTCTTTGTGCTGTTTGCATTCAACTCACAAAGTTGAAAATACCTTTTCATAGAGGAGTTTTGAAACACTCTTTTCGTAGAATCTGCAAGTGGATATTTGGACTGCTTTTAGGTTTTCTTTGGAAACAGGAATATCTTTACATAAACACTAGACAGATGCATTCTCAGAAAGTTCTTTGTGATGTGTGCATTCAACTCACAGATTTGAACATACCTTGTCATAGAGCAGTTTTGAAACACTCGTTTCGTAGAATCTGCAAGTGGATATTTGGACTGCTTTGAGGCCTTCATCGGAAACGGGAATATCTTCACATAAGAACTAGACAGAAGAATTCTGGGAAATTTCTTTGTGATGTGTGCATTCAACTCACAGAGTTGAACCTTTCTGTTGATAGAGCAGTTTGGAAACACTCTTTTCGCAAAATCTGCAGAGTGGATATTTGTACTGCTTAGAGGCCTTCGTTGGAAACGGGAATATCTCCACATAAAAACTAGACAGAAGCATTCTCAGAAACTTCCTTGTATTGTTTGCATTCAACCCACAGAGTTGAACATACCTTTTCACAGAGCAGTTTTTAAACACTCTTTTTGTAGAATCTGCAAGTGGACATTTGGAAAGCTTTCAGGCCTGTGGTGGAAAAGGAAATACCTTCACATAAAAACCAGATGGAAGCATTCTCAGAAACTTCTTTGTATTGTTTGCATTCAACCCACAGAGTTGAACATACCTTTTCACAGAGCAGTTTTGAAACACTCTTTTTGTAGAATCTGCAAGTGGATATATGGAGTGCTTTGAGGCCTTCTTTTTAAACGGGAATATCTTCACATAAAAACTAGAGAGAAGCATTCTCAGAGCCTTCTTTGTGATGTGTGCATTCAACTCACAGAGCTGAACCTTTCTTTTGATAGAGCTGTTTTGAAGCACTGTTTTTTTAGAATCTGCAAGTGGATATATGGAGTGCTTTGAGGCCTTCTTTGTAAACGGGAATATCTTCACATAAAAACTAGAGAGAAGCATTCTCAGAACCTTCTTTGTGATGTGTGCATTCAACTCACGGAGCTGAACCTTTCTTTTGATAGAGCTGTTTTGAAGCACTGTTTTTTTAGAATCTGCATGTGGAAATTTTCAGAGCTTCGAGGCCTGTGGTGGAGAAGGAAATATCTTCACATAAAAACTAGACAGAAGCATTCTCAGAAATTTGTTTGTGACGTTTGCATTCAACTCACAGAGTTGAACATACCTTTTCATAGAGCAGTTTTGAAACACTCTTTTCGTAGGATCTGCAAATGGATATTTGGACTGCTTTGAGGCCTTCGTTGGAAAGAGGAATATCTTCACATAAAAACTAGACGGAAGCATTCTCAGAAACTTCTTTGTGATGTTTGAATTCAACTCTCAGAGTTGAAGGTTTCTATTGATAGAGCAATTTTGAAAAACCGTTTTTGTAGAATCTGTCAGTGGACATTTGGAGAGCTTGGAAGCCTGCGGTGGAAAAGGAAATATCTTCACATAAAAACCAGACACAAGAATTCTCAGAAACTTCTTTGTGATGTTTGCATTCAACGAAGAGAGTTGAACATACCTTTTCATAGAGCAGTTTTGAAACACTCTTTTCGTAGAATCTGCAAGTGTATATTTGGACTGCTTTGAGGCCTTCATTGTAAACGAGAATATCTTCACATAAAAACGAGACAGAAGCATTCTCAGCAACTACTTTGTGATGATTGCATTCAACTCACTGTGTTAACCTTTATTTTGATAGGGCAGTTTTGAAACACTGTTTTTGTAGCATCTGCAAGTGGTCATTTGGAGAGCTTTGAGGCCTATGGTGGAAAAAGAAATATCTTCACATAAAAACAGGACAGAAGCATTTTCAGAATCTCCGCTGTGATGTTTGCATTGAACTCACAGAGTTGAACGTCCCCTTTCATAGAGCAGTTTTGAAACACTCTTCGTAGAATCTGCCAGTGGATATTTGGACTGATTTGAGGCCTTTGTTGGACACGGGAATATCTTCATATAAAAACTAGAAAGAAGCATTCTCAGCAACTACTTTGTGATGATTGCATTCAACTCACTGTGTTAACCTTTATTTTGATAGGGCAGTTTGTAAACACTGTTTTGGTAGCATCTGCAAGTGTTCTTTTGGAGAGCTTTGAGGCCTATGGTGGAAAATGATATACCTTCACATATAAACCAGACAGAAGCATTTTCAGAAACTTCTTTGCGATGTTTGCATTCAACTCACAGTGTTAACCTTTATTTTCATAGAACAGTTTTGAAACACTGTTTTTGTAGCATCTGCAAGTGGTCATTTGGAGAGCTTTGAGGCCTATGGTGGAAAAGGAAATATCTCCACATAAAAACTGGACAGAAGCATTCTCAGAATCTCCTCTGTGAAGTTTGCATTCAACTCACAGAGTTGAACATACCTTTTCATAGAGCAGTTTTGAAACACTCTTTTCGTAGAATCCACAAGTGGATATTTGGACTGATTTGAGGCCTTTGTTGGAAACGGGAATACCTTCACATAAAATATAGAAAGAAGAATTCTCAGAAACTTCTTTGTGATATGTGCATTCAACTCAGAGAGTTGAACTTTTCTTTTGATAGAGCAGTTTTGAAACAGACTTTTTGTAGAATCTGCAAGTGGACATTTGGGAAGCTTTGAGGCCTATGGTGGAAAATGATATACCTTCACATAAAAAGAAGACAGAAGCATTTTCAGAAACTTCTTGTGATGTTTGCATTCAAGTCACAGAGATGAAATACCTTTTCATAGCGCAGTTTTGAAAAACTCTTTCCGTAGTATCTGCAAGGGGATATTTGGACTGCTTTGAGGCCTTCAGTGGAAACAGAAATATCTTAACATAAAAATTAGACAGAAGCATTCTCAGAAACTTCTTTGTGATGAGGCCATTCAACTCACAGAGCTGAACCACTCTTTTGAAGGAGCAGTTTGAAACATTCTTTTTGTAGAATCTGCAAGTGCAAAGCCAAGAGAGCTTTGAGGCCTACAGTGGAAAAGGAAATATCTTCACATAAAAACTGGACAGAAGCATTCTCAAAAACATCTTTGTGATATTTGCATTCAACTCACAGAGTTGAAAATAACTTTTCGTAGAGCAGTTTTGAAACACTCTTTTTGTAGAATCTGCAAGAGGATATTTGGACTGCTTTAAGGACCTCGTTGGAAACGGGAATATCTTCACATAAAAACTAGACAGAAGCATTCTCGGAAACACCTTTGTGATGTGGGCATTCAACTCAGAGAGTTGAACATTTCTTTTGATAGAGCAGTTTTGAAACACTGTTTTTATAGAATCTGCAAGTGGACATTTGGAGACTTTTGAAGCATATGGTGGAAATGGAAATACCTTCCCATGAAAACTAGACAGAATCATTCTCAGTACCTACTTTGTTAGGTTTGCATTCAACTCACAGAGATGGACATACCTTTTCATAGAGCAGTTTTGGAAAACTCTTTTGGTAGAATATGCAAATGGATAATTGGAACGCTTTCAGGCCTTCGTTGGAAATGTGAATATCTTCAAATAAAAACTAGACAAAAGCATTCTCAGAAACTTCTTTGTGATGTGGGCATTCAACTCACAGTACTTGAACCTTTCTTTTCATAGACCAGTCTTGAAACACTCTTTTTGAAGAATCTGCAAGTGGACATTTGGAGAGCTTTGAGGCCTATGGTGAGAAAGAAAATATCTTCACATAAAAACCAGACAGAAGCATTCTGAGAAACTTCTTTGTGCTGTTTGCATTCAACTCACAAAGTTGAAAATACCTTTTCATAGAGGAGTTTTGAAACACTCTTTTCGTAGAATCTGCAAGTGGATATTTGGACTGCTTTTAGGTTTTCTTTGGAAACAGGAATATCTTTACATAAAAACTAGACAGATGCATTCTCAGAAAGTTCTTTGTGATGTGTGCATTCAAATCACAGATTTGAACATACCTTGTCATAGAGCAGTTTTGAAACACTCGTTTCGTAGAATCTGCAAGTGGATATTTGGACTGCTTTGAGGCCTTCGTCGGAAACGGGAATATCTTCACATAAGAACTAGACAGAAGAATTCTGGGAAATTTCTTTGTGATGTGTGCATTCAACTCACAGAAGTTGAACCTTTCTGTTGATAGAGCAGTTTGGAAACACTCTTTTCGCAAAATCTGCAAAGTGGATATTTGTACTGCTTAGAGGCCTTCGTTGGAAACGGGAATATCTCCACATAAAAACTAGACAGAAGCATTCTCAGAAACTTCTTTGTGATCTGCACATTCAACACAAAGAGTTGAATCTTCCTTTTGATAGAGCAGTTTTTAAACACTCTTTTTGTAGAATCTGCAAGTGGACATTTGGAAAGCTTTGAGGCCTGTGGTGGAAAAGGAAATACCTTCACATAAAAACCAGATGGAAGCATTCTCAGAAACTTCTTTGTATTGTTTGCATTCAACCCACAGAGTTGAACATACCTTTTCACAGAGCAGTTTTGAAACACTCTTTTTGTAGAATCTGTAAGTTGATATATGGAGTGCTTTGAGGCCTTCTTTGTAAACGGGAATATCTTCACATAAAAACTAGACAGAAGCATTCTCAGAGCCGTCTTTGTGATGTGTGCATTCAACTTACAGAGCTGAACCTTTCTTTTGATAGAGCTGTTTTGAAGCACTGTTTTTTTAGAATCTGCAAGTGGATATATTGAGTGCTTTGAGGCCTTCTTTGTAAACGGGAATATCTTCACATAAAAACTAGAGAGAAGCATTCTCAGAGCCTTCTTTGTGATGTGTGCATTCAACTCACAGAGCTGAACCTTTCTTTTGATAGAGCTGTTTTGAAGCACTGTTTTTTTAGAATCTGCATGTGGAAATTTTCAGAGCTTCGAGGCCTGTGGTGGAGAAGGAAATATCTTCACATAAAAACTAGACAGAAGGATTCTCAGAAACTTCTTTGTGATGGTTGCATTCAACTCACAGAATTAAACATACCTTTTCATAGAGAAGTTTTGAAACACACTTTTCGTAGAATCTGCAAATGGATATTTGGACGGCTTTGAGGCCTTCGTTGGAAATGGGAAAATCTTCACATAAAAACGAAACAGAAGCATTCTCAGAAACTTCTTTGTGATGTGTGAATTCAACTCTCAGAGTTGAAGCTTTCTATTGATAGAGCAGTTTTGAAAAACCGTTTTTGTAGAATCTGCCAGTGGACATTTGGAGAGCTTTGAGGCCTACGGTGGAAAAGGAAATATCTTCACATAAAAACCAGACACAAAGATTCTCAGAAACTTCTTTGTGACGTTTGCATTCAACTCACAGAGTTGAACACACCTTTTCATAGAGCTGTTTTGAAGCACTCTTTTCGTAGAATCTGCAAGTGTATATTTGGAATGCTTTGAGGCCTTCATTGTAAACGAGAATATCTTCACATGAAAACGAGACAGAAGCATTCTCAGCAACGACTTTGTGATGATTGCATTCAACTCACTGTGTTAACCTTTATTTTGATAGGGCAGTTTTGAAACACTGTTTTTGTAGCATCTGCAAGTGGTGATTTGGAGAGCTTTGAGGCCTATGGTGGAAAAGGAAATATCTTCACATAAAAACAGGACAGAAGCATTTTCAGAATCTCCGCTGTGATGTTTGCATTGAACTCACAGAGTTGAACGTCCCTTTTCATAGAGCAGTTTTGAAACACTCTTCGTAGAATCTGCCAGTGGATATTTGGACTGATTGGAGGCCTTTGTTGGACACGGGAATATCTTCATATAAAAACTAGAAAGA
>NC_000014.9:16367387-16374057 GCF_000001405.40 Homo sapiens
AGCATTCATAGAAACTTCTTTGTGATGTATGCATTCAACTCACAGAGTTGAAACTATCTTATTATTGAGCAGTTTTGAATCTCTCTTTTTGCAGAATCTGCAACTGGATATTTGGAGCGCTTTGAGGCCTACCGTGGAAAAGCAAATATCTTCAGATAAAAGCTACACAGAAGCTTTCTGAGAAACTTTTTTGCGATGTGTGCATTCAACTCACAGAGTTGAAACTTTCTTTTGATTGAGCAGATTTGAAACACTCTTTTTGTAGAAACTGTAAGTTGATATTTGGAGCCCTTTGAGGCCTATTGTGGAAAAGGAAATATCTTCACGTAAAAACTACATAGAACCATTCTGAGATACTTCTTTTTGATGTTTGCATTCATCTCACAGTGTTGAAAGTTTCTTTTGATTGAGCAGTTTTGAAACACTCTTTTTGTAGAATCTGCAAGTGAATAATTGGAGCCCTTTGAGGGCTATGGTAGAAAAGGAAATATCTTCAAATAAGAACTACAAAGAAACATTCTCAGAAACTTATTTGTGATGTGAGCATTCAACTCACAGACCTGAACATATCTTTTGATTTAGCACTTTTGAATTTCTCTTTTTGTAGAATTTGCAAGTGGATATTTGGAGCGCTGTGAGACCTACTGTGGGAAATGAAATATGTTCACATAAAAACTACTCAGAACCATTCTGAGAAACTTCTTTGTGTCGTGTGCATTCGACTCACAGAGTTGAACATATGTCCTCTTTGAGCAGTTTTGCGTCTCTCTTTTTGTAGAATGTACAAGTGGATATTTGGAGCCCATTGTGTCCTATGGTGGAAAAGGAAATATCTTCAGATAAAAATTACACAGAAGAATTCTGAGAAACTTCTTTGTGATATGTGCATTTATCTCACAGGTTTGAACCTACCGTTTTATTGAGCAGTTTTGAAACACTGTTTTTGTAGAATCTGCAAGTGGATATTTAGAGGGAATTGAGGCCTACCGTGGAAAAGCATATACCTACAAACAAAAACTAAACAGAAGCATTCTGAGAAACTTCTTAGTGATGTGTGCATTCGTCTCACAGAGTTGAAACTTTCCTTTGATTGAGCAGTTTTGAAACACTCTTTTTGTAGAATCTGCAACTGGATATTTGGAGCCCTTTGAGGAATATTGTGGAAAAGGAAATATCTTCACATAAAAACTACACAGAAGCATTCTGAGAAACTTCTTTATGAGGAGTCCATTCAACCCACAGAGTTAAACTTTTCTTCTCATTGAGCAGTTTTGAATCTCTCTATTTGTAGAATCTGCAAGTGGATATTTGCTGCCCTTTGAGGCATACTGAGGAAAAGCAAATATCTTCATATAAAAACTACACAGAAGCATTCTGAGAAACTTCTTTGGGATGTGTGCATTCAACTCACAGAGTTGAACCTATCTTTTGATTGAGCAGATTTGAATCTCTCTTTTGGCAGAAACTGCAAGTAGATATTTGGAGCCATTTGCGGCCTTTTGTGGAAAAAGAAATATTTTCAAATAAAAACTAAACAGAAACATACTGAGAAACTTCTTTGTGATGTGTGCATTCATCTCACAGGGTTGAAACTATCTTATGATTGAGCAGTTTTGAAACACTCTTTTTGTAGAATCTGCAACTGGATATTTGGAGCCCTTTGAGGGCTATTGTGGAAAAGTAAATATCTTCACATAAAAACTATTCAGGAGCATTCTGATAAACTTCTTTGTGATGTATGCATTCAACTCACAGACTTGAACCTATCTTAAGAATGAGCAGTTTTGAATCTCTCTTTTTGCAGAATCTGCAACTGGATATTTTGAGGGCCTTAAGGCCTACCGTGGAAAAGCAATTATCTTCAGATTAAAACTACACAGAAGCATTCAGAGAAACATCTTTGTGATGTTTGCATTCATCTCACAGAGTTAAAACTTTCTCTTGATGGAGCAGTTTTGAAACACTCTTTTTGTAGAATCTGCAAGTGGATATTTGGAGCCCTTTGAGGCCTGTTGTGGAAAAGGAAATATCTTCCCATGAAAACTACATAGAAGTATTCTGAGAAACTTCTTTGCAATGTGTGCATTCAACTCACAAGAGTTGAACCTATCTTTTGATTGAGGATTTTTGAATCTTTCTTTTTGCAGAATCTGCAAGTGTATGTTTGCAAAGCTTTGTGGCCTATTGTGGAAAAGGAAATGTCTTCACATAAAAACTACACATAAATATTCTGGGAAAGTTCTTTGTGGTGCGTGCATTCATGTCATAGAGTTGAAACTTTCTTTTGATGGAGCAGTTTTGAAACACTCTTTTTGTACAATCTGCTAGTGGATAATTGGAGCCCTTTGAGGACTATTGTGGAAAAGGAAATATCTTCAAATAAAAACTACACAGAAGCATTCTGATAAACTTCTTTCTGATGTGTGCATTCAACTCACAGAGTTGAACCTATATTTTGATTGAGCAGTTTAGAAGCTCTCTTTTTGCAGAATCTGCAAGTGGATGTTTGGAGAGCTTTGAAACCTATTATGGAAAAGCAAATATCTTCACATAAAAACTACACAGAAGCATTCTGAGAAACTTCTCTGTGAGGTGTGCACTCAACCCACAGAGTTTAACTTATTTTCTCATTGAGCAGTTTTGAATCTCTCTTTTTATAAAATCTGCAGGTAGATATTTGGAGCTCTTTGAGCCCCATGGTGGAAAAGGAGATATCTTCAAATAAAAACTACACAGAAGCATTCATAGAAATTTCTTTGTGATGTATGCATTCAACTCACAGAGTTGAAACTATCTTATTATTGAGCAGTTTTTAATCTCTCTTTTGCAGAATCTGCAAGTGGATATTTGGAGCGCTTTGAGGCCTACTGTGGAAAAGCAAATAACTTCAGATAAAAGCTACACAAAAGCTTTCTGAGAAACTTTTTTGCGATGTGTGCATTCAACTCACAGAGTTGAAACTTTCTTTTGATTGAGCAGATTTGAAACACTCTTTTTGTAGAAACTGTAAGTTGATATTTGGAGCCCTTTGAGGCCTATTGTGGAAAAGGAAATATCTTCACATAAAAACTACATAGAATCATTCTGAGATACTTCTTTGTGATGCTTGCATTCATCTAACAATGTTGAAACTTTCTTTTCATTGAGCAGTTTTGAAACACTCTTTTTGTAGAATCTGCAAGTGGAATAATTGGATCCCTTTGCGCCCTGTGGTGGAGAAGGAAATATCTTCAAATAAGAACTACACAGAAACATTCTCAGAAACTTATTTGTGATGTGTGCATTCAACTCACAGGGCTGAACATATCTTTTGATTTAGCAGTTTTGAATTTCTCTTTTGGCAGAATCTGCAAGGGGATGTTTGGAGAGCTTTCAGGCATATTGTGGAAAGGGAAATATTTTCACATAAAAACTACACAGAACCATTCTGAGAAACTTCTTTGTGTCGTGTGCATTCAACTCACAGAGTTGAACATATGTCCTCTTTGAGCAGTTTTGCGTCTCTCTTTTTGTAGAATGTACAAGTGGATATTTGGAGCCCATTGTGTCCTATGGTGGAAAAGGAAATATCTTCAGATAAAAATTACACAGAAGAATTCTGAGAAACTTCTTTGTGATATGTGCATTTATCTCACAGGTTTGAACCTACCGTTTTATTGAGCAGTTTTGAAACACTGTTTTTGTAGAATCTGCAAGTGGATATTTAGAGGGAATTGAGGCCTACCGTGGAAAAGCATATACCTACAAACAAAAACTAAACAGAAGCATTCTGAGAAACTTCTTAGTGATGTGTGCATTCGTCTCACAGAGTTGAAACTTTCCTTTGATTGAGCAGTTTTGAAACACTCTTTTTGTAGAATCTGCAACTGGATATTTGGAGCCCTTTGAGGAATATTGTGGAAAAGGAAATATCTTCACATAAAAACTACACAGAAGCATTCTGAGAAACTTCTTTATGAGGAGTCCATTCAACCCACAGAGTTAAACTTTTCTTCTCATTGAGCAGTTTTGAATCTCTCTATTTGTAGAATCTGCAAGTGGATATTTGCTGCCCTTTGAGGCATACTGAGGAAAAGCAAATATCTTCATATAAAAACTACACAGAAGCATTCTGAGAAACTTCTTTGGGATGTGTGCATTCAACTCACAGAGTTGAACCTATCTTTTGATTGAGCAGATTTGAATCTCTCTTTTGGCAGAAACTGCAAGTAGATATTTGGAGCCATTTGCGGCCTTTGGTGGAAAAAGAAATATTTTCAAATAAAAACTAAACAGAAACATTCTCAGAAACTTATTTGTGATGTGTGCATTCAACTCACAGGGCTGAACATATCTTTTGATTTAGCAGTTTTGAATTTCTCTTTTTGTAGAATTTGCAAGTGGATATTTGGAGCACTGTGAGACCTACTGTGGGAAATGAAATATGTTCACATAAAAACTACTCAGAAGCATTCTGAGAAACTACTTTGTGATGTGTGCATTCAACTCACAGAGTTGAACCTATCTTTTGATCGAGCAGTTTTGAATCTCTCTTTTTGCAGAATCTGCAAGCGGATGTTTGGAGAACGTTGAGGCTTATTATGTAAAAGGGAATATTTTCACATAAATACTACACAGAAGCATTCAGAGAAACATCTTTGTGATGTTTGCATTCATCTCACAGAGTTAAAACTTTCTCTTGATGGAGCAGTTTTGAAACACTCTTTTTGTAGAATCTGCAAGTGGATATTTGGAGCCCTTTGAGGCCTGTTGTGGAAAAGGAAATATCTTCCCATGAAAACTACATAGAAGCATTCTGGGAAACTTCTTTGGGATGTGTGCATTCAACTCACAGAGTTGAACCTATCTTTTGATTGAGCAGTTTGGAATCTCTCTTTTTGAAGAATCTGCAAGTGTGTGTTTTCAAAGCTTTGTGGCCTATTGTGGAAAAGGAAATATCTTCACATAAAAACTACACATAAACATTCTGAGAAAGTTCTTTGCGGTGTGTGCATTCATCTCACGGAGTTGAAACTTTCTTTTGATTGAGCAGTTTTGAAACACTCTTTTTGTACAATCTGCAAGCTGATAATTGGAGCCCTTTGAGGACTATTGTGGAAAAGGAAATATCTTCACATAAAAACTACTCAGAAGCATTCTGATAAACTTCTTTCTGATGTGTGCATTCAACTCACAGAGTTGAACCTATATTTTGATTGAGCAGTTTAGAGGCTCTCTTTTTGCAGAATCTGCAAGTGGATGTTTGGAGAGCTTTGAAACCTATTATGGAAAAGCAAATATCTTCACATAAAAACTACACAGAAGCATTCTGAGAAACTTCTCTGTGAGGTGTGCACTCAACCCACAGAGTTTAACTTATTTTCTCATTGAGCAGTTTTGAATCTCTCTTTTTATAAAATCTGCAGGTAGATATTTGGAGCTCTTTGAGCCCCATGGTGGAAAAGGAAATATCTTCAAATAAAAACTACACAGAAGCATTCATAGAAATTTCTTTGTGATGTATGCATTCAACTCACAGAGTTGAAACTATCTTATTATTGAGCAGTTTTTAATCTCTCTTTTGCAGAATCTGCAAGTGGATATTTGGAACGCTTTGAGGCCTACTGTGGAAAAGCAAATAACTTCAGATAAAAGCTACACAAAAGCTTTCTGAGAAACTTTTTTTGCGATGTGTGCATTCAACTCACAGAGTTGAAACTTTCTTTTGATTGAGCAGATTTGAAACACTCTTTTTGTAGAAACGGTAAGTTGATATTTGGAGCCCTTTGAGGCCTATTGTGGAAAAGGAAATATCTTCACGTAAAAACTACATAGAACCATTCTGAGATACTTCTTTTTGATGTTTGCATTCATCTCACAGTGTTGAAACTTTCTTTTGATTGAGCAGTTTTGAAACACTCTTTTTGTAGAATCTGCAAGTGAATAATTGGAGCCCTTTGAGGGCTATGGTAGAAAAGGAAATATCTTCAAATAAGAACTACAAAGAAACATTCTCAGAAACTTATTTGTGATGTGTGCATTCAACTCACAGGGCTGAACATATCTTTTGATTTAGCAGTTTTGAATTTCTCTTTTTGCAGAATCTGCAAGGGGATGTTTGGAGAGCTTTCAGGCATATTGTGGAAAGGGAAATATTTTCACATAAAAACTACACAGAACCATTCTGAGAAACTTCTTTGTGTCGTGTGCATTCAACTCACAGAGTTGAACATATGTCCTCTTTGAGCAGTTTTGCGTCTCTCTTTTTGTAGAATGTACAAGTGGATATTTGGAGCCCATTGTGTCCTATGGTGGAAAAGGAAATATCTTCAGATAAAAATTACACAGAAGAATTCTGAGAAACTTCTTTGTGATATGTGCATTTATCTCACAGGTTTGAACCTACCGTTTTATTGAGCAGTTTTGAAACACTGTTTTTGTAGAATCTGCAAGTGGATATTTAGAGGGAATTGAGGCCTACCGTGGAAAAGCATATACCTACAAACAAAAACTAAACAGAAGCATTCTGAGAAACTTCTTAGTGATGTGTGCATTCGTCTCACAGAGTTGAAACTTTCCTTTGATTGAGCAGTTTTGAAACACTCTTTTTGTAGAATCTGCAACTGGATATTTGGAGCCCTTTGAGGAATATTGTGGAAAAGGAAATATCTTCACATAAAAACTACACAGA
>NC_000014.9:16374157-16377402 GCF_000001405.40 Homo sapiens
GGCATTCTGAGAAACTTCTTCGTGATGTGTGCATTCATCTCACAGAGTTGAACCTATCTTATGATTGAGCAGATTTGAAACACTGGCTTTGTAGATGCTGCAAGTGGATATTTGGAGCGCTTTGAGGCCTACTGTGGAAAAGGAAATATTTTCACATAAAAACCACACAGAAGCCTTCTGAGAAACTTCTTTGTGATGTGTCCATTCAACTCACTGCCTTGAACCTATCTTTTGATTGAGCAGTTTCGGATCTCTCTTTTTCAGGAACCTGCAAGTGGATGTTTGGAGCCCTTTGCGGTCCATGGAGGCAAAGGAAATATCTTCAAATAAAAACTACACAGAAGCGTTCTGAGAAACTTCTTTGTGATGTGTGCATTCATCTCACAGAGAAGAACCTATCTTATGACTGAGCAGCTTTGAAACACTCTCTTTGCAGAATCTTCAGGTGTATATTTGGAGTGCTTTTTGGCCTATTTTGTAAAAGGAAATATCTTCACATAAAACCTACACAGATTTATTCTGAGAAACTACTTTTTGTTGTGTGTATTCATCTAACAGAGTTGTACGTTTCTTTTGATTGAGCAGTTTTGAAACACAGTTTTTACAGAATGTGCAAGTGGATATTTGGAGCGCTTTGGGGCCTACTGTGGAAAAGCAAATATCTTCACGTAAAAACCACACAGAAGCATTCTAAGAAACTTCTTTGTGATGTGTGCATTCATCCCACAGAGATGAAAGTTTCTTTTGATTGAGAACTTTTGAAACACTCTTTTTGTAGAATCTGCAAGTGGATATTTGGAGCGCTTTTAGACCTACTGTGGAAAAGGAAATATCTTCCCATAAAAACTACACAGAAGCATTCTGAGAAACTTCTTTGCAATGTGTGCATTCAACTCATAGAGTTGAACCTATCTTTTGATTGAGCAGTTTTGAATTTCTCTGTTTGCAGAATCTGCAAGTGGATATTTGAAACCCTTTGCAGCCAATGGAGGATAAGGAAATATCTTCAAATAAATACTACACAGAAGCATTCTGAGAAACTTCTTTGTGATGTGTGCATTCATCTCATAGATTTGAACATATCTTATGATTGAGTACATTTGAAACACTCTCTTTGTAGAATCTGCAAGTGGATACTTGGAGGGCTTTCAGGACTGTTGTGGAAAAGGAAATATCTTCACGTAAAAACTTCACAAAAGCATTCTGAGATACTTCTTTATGATGTATGCACTCAACTCAGAGAGTTGAACCTATCTTTTGATTGAGAAGTTTTGAAACACTCTGTTTGTAGAATCTGCAAGTGGATATTTGGAGTGCTTTGAGGCCTATTGTGGAAAAGGTAATATCTTCACATAAAAACTACAAATAAGCATTCTGAGAAACTTCTTTGTGATGTGTGAATTCAAGTCACAGAGTTTAACCTATCTTTTGATTGAGCAGTTTTGAATCTCTCTTTTTGTAGAATCTGCAAGTGGATATTTGGTGGGCTTTGAGGCCTATTTTGGAAAAGGAAACATCTTCACATAAAAACTACACAGAAGCCTTCTGAGAAACTTCTTTGTGATGTGTCCATTCAACTCACAGCCTTGAACCTATCTTTTGATTGAGCAGTTTCGGATCTCTCTTTTTCAGGAACCTGCAAGTGGATGTTTGGAGCCCTTTGCGGTCCATGGAGGCAAAGGAAATATCTTCAAATAAAAACTACACAGAAGCATTCTAAGAAACTTCTTTGTGATGTGTGCATTCATCCCACAGAGATGAGCAGTTTCAATTGAGCAGTTTTGGATCTCTCTTTTTCTCGGATTTGCAAGTGGATATTTGGAGCCCTTTGCAGTCCATGGAGGCAAAGGAAATATCTTCAAATAAAAACTACAAATATTTATTCTGAGAAACTACTTTTTGTTGTGTGTATTCATCTAACAGAGTTGTACGTTTCTTTTGATTGAGCAGTTTTGAAACACAGTTTTTACAGAATGTGCAAGTGGATATTTGGAGCGCTTTGGGGCCTATTGTGGAAAAGCAAATATCTTCACGTAAAAACCACACAGAAGCATTCTGAGAAACAACTCTGTGATGTGTGCATTCATCCCACAGAGTTGAAAGTTTCTTTTGATTGAGAACTTTTGAAACACTCTTTTTGTAGAATCTGCAAGTGGATATTTGGAGTGCTTTTAGACCTATTGTGGAAAAGGAAATATCTTCCCATAAAAACTACACAGAAGCATTCTGAGAAACTTCTTTGTGATGTGTGCATTCATCTCATAGAGTTGAACGTATCTTTTGATTGAACAGTTTTGAATTTCTCTTTTTGCAGAATCTGCAAGTGGATATTTGAAGCCCTTTGCAGCCAATGGAGGATAAGGAAATATCTTCAAATAAATACTACACAGAAGCATTCTGAGAAACTTCTTTGTGATGTGTGCATTCATCTCATAGATTTGGACATATCTTATGATTGAGTACATTTGAAACACTCTCTTTGTAGAATCTGCAAGTGGATACTTGGAGGGCTTTCAGGACTGTTGTGGAAAAGAAAATATCTTCACGTAAAAACTACACAAAAGCATTCTGAGATACTTCTTTATGATGTATGCATTCAACTCAGAGAGTTGAACCTATCTTTTGATTGAGAAGTTTTGAAACACTCTGTTTGTAGAATCTGCAAGTGGATATTTGGAGTGCTTTGAGGCCTATTGTGGAAAAGGTAATATCTTCACATAAAAACTACAAATAAGCATTCTGAGAAACTACTTTGTGATGTGTGTGTTAAACTCACAGAGGTGAACTTATCTTTTGATTGAGCAGATTTGAATATCTCTTTTTGTAGGAGCTGCAAGTGGGTATTTGGAGCCCTTTGAGGCCTATTGTGGAAAAGAAAATATCTTCACATAAAAACAACACAGAAGCATTCTGAGAAACTTCTTTGTGATGTGTGCATTCAACTCACAGTCTTGAACCTATCTTTCAATTGAGCATTTTTGGATCTCTCTTTTTCTCGGATTTGCAAGTGGATATTTGGAGCCCTTTGCAGTCCATGGAGGCAAAGGAAATATCTTCAAATAAAAACTACACAGAAGCATTCTGAGAAACTTCTTTGTGATGTGTGCATTCATCTCACAGAGATGAACCTATCTTATGACTGAGCAGCTTTGAAACAGTCTCTTTGCAAAATCTTCAGGTGTATATTTGGAGTGCTTTTTGGCCTATTGTGTAAAAGGAAATATCTTCACATAAACCTACACAGA
>NC_000014.9:16377502-16400063 GCF_000001405.40 Homo sapiens
GGAATTCTGAGAGACTTCTTTGTGATGCGTGTACTCATCTTACAGAGTTAAACCTTCCTTTTGAATGAGCAGATTTGAAACTGTCTTTTTGTAGAATCTGCAAGTGGACATTTTGAGCGCCTTGAGGCCTATGGTGGAAAAGAAAATGCCTTCACATGAAAACTAGACAGAAGAATTCTGAGAAACTTCTTTCTTATGTGTGCGTTAATCTCACACAGTTGAACCTTTCTTTTGATTGAGCAGTTTCAAACACTCTTTTTGTAGAATCTGCAAGTGGACTTTTGGAGCACTTTGTGGCCTACGGTAGAAAAGGAAATATCGTCACATAAAATCTAGACAGAAGCAATCTGAGACTTCTTTGTGATGTGTGCATTCACCACACATTGTGTAACCTTTCCCTTGATTGAGCAGTTTTGAAACTCTTTTTGTAGAATCTACAAGTCTACATTTGGAGTGCTTTGAGGCCTATGGTAGAAAAGGAAATATCTTCACATAAAAACTAGTCAAAAGAATTCTGAGAAACTGCTTGGTGATGTGTGCGTTCACCACACAGAGCTGAACCATTGTTTTGATTGAGCAGTTTGGAAACCCTCTTTTTGTAGAATATGCAAGTGGACATTTGGAGTACTTTGATGCCCCTGGTCGAAAAGGAAATATCTTAACTTAAAAACTAGACAGAATAATTCTGGGAAACTTCTTTCTGATGTGTGCGTTCATCTCACAGAGTTAAACTTTTCATTTTATTGAGCAGTTTGGAAACACTCTTTTTGTAGAATCTGCAAGTGGACATTTGGAGCGCATTGTGGTATGCAGTAGAAAAGGAAATGTCTCCACAAAAAATGTAGACAGAAGCAGTCTTATAAACTTCTTTGTGATGTGTGCATTCATTTCACAGATTTGAACCTATCTTTAGATTGAGCAGTTTGGAAACACTCTTTTTGTAGAATCTGCAAGTGCACACGTGGAGAGATTTGCGGCCAATGGTAGAGAAGCAAATATCTTCGCATAAACTCTAGACAGAAGCATTCTGACAAACTTCTTTGTGATGTGTGCATTCATCTCACAAAGAATTGAAACTTTCTTTGATTCAGGAGCTTTGAAACACTCTTTTTGTAGAATCTGCAAGTGTACATTTGGAGCGCTTTGAGGCCTATGGTGGAAAAGGGAACATCTTCACATATAGAACAGACAGAAGCCTTCTGACAAACTTCTTTTCAATGTGTGCGTTCAACTCAAAGATTTGAACCTTACTTTTCATTGAGCAGATTTGAAACACTCTTTTTGTAGAATCTGCAAGTGGACAATTGGACCGCTTTCTGGCCTATGGTGGAAAAGGATGTATCGTCACATAAAAACTAGACAGAAATCTTCTGACAAACTTCTTTGTTATGCATGCATTCATCTTTCAGAGTTGAACCTTCCTTTTGATTGAGCAACTTTGAAACACTCTTTTTGTAGAATCTGCAAGTAGTCATTTGTAGCGCTTTGGAGACTATGGCGAAAAAGGAAATATCTTCCCATAAAAACTAGACAGAGGCATTCTGACAAACTTCTTTGTGATGTGGGCATTCATCTCACAGAGTTGAACCTTACTTTTCATTGAGCTATTTTGAAACACTCTTTTTGGAGAATCTGTAAGTGGACTTTTTGAGGGCTTTGACGCACGTGGTGGAAAAGGAAATATCTTCATATAAAAACTAGACAGAAGGATTCTGAGAAACTTCTTTGTGATGTGTGCATTCATCTCACAGAGTTGAACCTTACTTTTCATTGAGCAGTTTTGAAACACTCTTTTTGTAGAATCTGCAAGTGGACATTTGGAGAACTTTGAGGCCTGTGGTGTAAAAGGAAATATCTTCACATAAAAACTAGACAGAAGCATTCTGACAAACGTCTTTGTGATGTGTGCTTTCATCTCACAGAGTTGAACATTTCTTTTGATTTAGCAGCTTTGAAACACTCTTTTTGTAGAATCTGCCGTTGGACATTTGCGGCACTTCAAGCCAATGGTAGAAAAGGAAATACCTTCACATAGAAAGTAGATAGAAGCATTCTGACAAACTACTTTGTGATGTGTACATTCATCTCACAGAGCTGGACCTTTCTTTTGATTGAGCAGCTTTGAAACACTCTTTTTGTAGAATCTGCAATTGTACATTTGGAGCGCTTTGAGGTCTATGGTCGAAAAGCAAATATCTTCACAGAAAAACTAGACAGAAACATTCTGAGAAATTTCTTTGTGATGTGTGCAATCATCTCACAGAGTTGAACCTTACTTTTGATTGTCTAGTTTTGAAAAACTCTTTTTGTAGAATCTGAAAGTGGACATTTGGAGCGCTTTGAGTCCTATGATGGATAACGAAATATCTTCATATAATAAATAGAGAGAACTATTCTGAGAAACTTCTTTGGGATGTGTGCTTTCATCTCACAGAGTAAAACATTCTTTTGATCGAGCAGTTTTGTAAGTCTCTTTTTGTAGAATCTGCAAGTGGACATTTTGAGTCCTTTCAGGCCTATGGTGGAAAAAGAAATATCTACAAATTGAAACTCGACAGAAGAATTCTGAGAAACTCCTTTGTGATGCTTGCATTCATCTAACAGACTTGAACCTTTCTTTATGATTGAGCAGTTTGGAAACCCTCTTTTTGTAGAATCTGCTAGCGGATATCTGGAGCGTTTTGCAGCCTATGGTGGAAAAGGAAATATCTTCACATAAAAACTAAACAGATGTATTCTGAGAAACTTCTATGTGATGTGTGCATTCATCTCACAGAGTTGAACCTTTCTTTTGATTGAGCAGTTTGGAAACACTCTTTTTGTAGAGTCTGCAAGTGGACGTATGGAATGCTTTGAAGCCTATGGTAGAACAGGAAATATCTTCACATAAAATCTAGACAGAGGAATTCTGAGAGACTTCTTTGTGATGCGTGTACTCATCTTACAGAGTTAAACCTTCCTTTTGAATGAGCAGATTTGAAACTGTCTTTTTGTAGAATCTGCAAGTGGACATTTTGAGCGCCTTGAGGCCTATGGTGGAAAAGAAAATGCCTTCACATGAAAACTAGACAGAAGAATTCTGAGAAACTTCTTTCTGATGTGTGCGTTAATCTCACACAGTTAAACCTTTCTTTTGATTGAGCAGTTTCAAAACACTCTTTTTGTAGAATCTGCAAGTAGACATTTGGAGGGCTTTGTGGCCTACGGTAGAAAAGGAAATATCATCACATAAAATCTAGACAGAAGCAATCTGAGACTTCTTTGTGATGTGTGCATTCACCACACATTGTTTAACCTTTCCCTTGATTGAGCAGTTTTGAAACTCTTTTTGTAGAATCTACCAGTCTACATTTGGAGTGCTTTGAGGCCTATGGTGGAAAAGGAAATATCTTCACATAAAAACTAGTCAAAAGCATTCTGAGAAACCTCTTTGTGATGTTTGTATTCATCTCCCAGAGCTGAACCATTCTTTTTATGGACAGTTTTGAAATACTCTTTTTGTAGAATCTGCAAGTGGACAATTTGAGCACCTTGTGGCCTCTGGTGGAAAATGAAATATCTTTACATAAAAACTAGACTGAAGCATTATGATAAACTTTTTGTGATGTCTGCATACATCTCACAAGGAGTTGAAACTTTCTTTTGATTGAGAAGCTTTGCAACATTCTTTTTGTAGAATCTGCAAGTGGACATTTGGAGTGCTTTGAGGCCTATGGTGGATAACGAAATATGTTCACATAAAAATTGGACAGAAGCATTCTGAGAAACTTCTTTGTGATGTGCGCATTCATCTCACAGAGTTGAACCTCCCTTTTGATTGAGCACTTTGGAAGCACTCTTTCTGTAAAATCTGCAAGTGGACAATTGGAGTGCTTTGAGGTCTATGGTGGAAAACGAAATATCTTCACATAAAAATTGGACAGAAGCATTCTGACAAACTTCTTTGTGATGTGTGCATTCATCTCACAAAGAATTGAAACTTTCTTTGATTCAGGAGCTTTGAAACACTCTTTTTGTAGAATCTGCAAGTGTACATTTGGAGCGCTTTGAGGCCTATGGTGGAAAAGGGAACATCTTCACATATAGAACAGACAGAAGCATTCTGACAAACTTCTTTTCAATGTGTGCGTTCAACTCAAAGATTTGAACCTTACTTTTCATTGAGCAGGTTTGAAACACTCTTTTTGTAGAATCTGCAAGTGGACAATTGGACCGCTTTCTGGCCTATGGTGGAAAAGGATGTATCGTCACATAAAAACTAGACAGAAATCTTCTGACAAACTTCTTTGTTATGCATGCATTCATCTTTCAGAGTTGAACCTTCCTTTTGATTGAGCAACTTTGAAACACTCTTTTTGTAGAATCTGCAAGTAGTCATTTGTAGCGCTTTGGAGACTATGGTGAAAAAGGAAATATCTTCCCATAAAAACTAGACAAAAGCATTCTGACAAACTTCTTTGTGATGTGGGCATTCATCTCACAGAGTTGAACCTTACTTTTCATTGAGCAATTTTGAAACACTCTTTTTGGAGAATCTGTAAGTGGACATTTTGAGGGCTTTGACGCACATGGTGGAAAAGGAAATATCTTCATATATCTTCATATAAAAAACAGAAGCATTCTGACAACCTTCATGGTGATATGTGCATTCATCTCCCAGAGTTGAACCTTAGTTTTGATTGAGCAGTTTTGAAACACCCTTTTTGTAGTATCTGCAAGAGGACATTTAGAGTGCTTTGAGGCCTATGGTGGAAAAGGAAATACCCTCATATAAAAACGAGACAGAAGCATTCTGACAAACTACTTTGTGATGTGTACATTCATCTCACAGAGCTGGACCTTTCTTTTGATTGAGCAGCTTTGAAACACTCTTTTTGTAGAATCTGCAATTGGACATTTGGAGCGCTTTGAGGTCTATGGTCGAAAAGCAAATATCTTCACAGAAAAACTAGACAGAAGTATTTTGAAAAACTTCATTGTGACGTTTGCATTCATCTCACTGACGTGAACCTTTCTTTTGATTGAGCAGTTTTGAAAAACTCTTTTTGTAGGATCTGCATGTGGACATTTGGATCGCTTTGAGGCCTATGGAGGAAAAGAAAATATCTCCACCTAAAAACCATACAGAATTATTCTGAGAAACTTCTTTGTGATGTGTGCATTCATCTCACAAAGTTGAACCTTACTTTTCATTGAGCAATTTTGAAACACTCTTTTTGTAGAATCTGCAAGTGGACATTTGGAGCACTTTTAGATCTATGGTGGAAAAGGAAATATCTTCACATAAAAACTAGACAGAACTATTCTGAGAAACTTCTTTGGGATGTGTGCTTTCATCTCACAGAGTAAAACATTCTTTTGATCAAGCAGTTTTGTAAGTCTCTTTTTGTAGAATCTGCAAGTGGACATTTTGAGTCCTTTCAGGTCTATGGTGGAAAAGGAAATATCTACAAATTGAAACTTGACAGAAGAATTCTGAGAAACTCCTTTGTGATGCTTGCATTTATCTAACAGAGTTGAACCTTTCTTTATGATTGAGCAGTTCGGAAACCCTCTTTTTGTAGAATCTGCTAGCGGATATTTGGAGCGTTTTGCAGCCTATGGTGGAAAAGGAAATATCTTCACATAAAAACTAAACAGATGTATTCTGATAAACTTCTATGTGATGTGTGCGTTCATCTCACAGAGTTGAACCTTTCTTTTGATTGAGCAGTTTGGAAACACTCTTTTCGTAGAATCTGCAAGTAGACGTATGGAATGCTTTGAAGCCTATGGTAGAACAGGAAATATCTTCACATAAAATCTAGACAGAGGAATTCTGAGAGACTTCTTTGTGATGCGTGTACTCATCTTACAGAGTTAAACCTTCCTTTTGAATGAGCAGATTTGAAACTGTCTTTTTGTAGAATCTGCAAGTGGACATTTTGAGCGCCTTGAGGCCTATGGTGGAAAAGAAAATGCCTTCACATGAAAACTAGACAGAAGAATTCTGAGAAACTTCTTTCTGATGTGTGCGTTAATCTCACACAGTTGAACCTTTCTTTTGATTGAGCAGTTTCAAAACACTCTTTTTGTAGAATCTGCAAGTAGACATTTGGAGGGCTTTGTGGCCTACGGTAGAAAAGGAAATATCATCACATAAAATCTAGACAGAAGCAATCTGAGACTTCTTTGTGATGTGTGCATTCACCACACATTGTTTAACCTTTCCCTTGATTGAGCAGTTTTGAAACTCTTTTTGTAGAATCTACAAGTCTACATTTGGAGTGCTTTGAGGCCTATGGTGGAAAAGGAAATATCTTCACATAAAAACTAGTCAAAAGAATTCTGAGAAACTTCTTGGTGATGTGTGCGTTCACCTCACAGAGCTGAACCATTGTTTTGATTGAGCAGTTTGGAAACCCTCTTTTCGTAGAATATGCAAGTGGACATTTGGAGTACTTTGATGCCCCTGGTCGAAAAGGAAATATCTTAACTTAAAAACTAGACAGAAGCATTCTGAGAAACTTCTTTCTGATGTGTGAATTCATCTCACAGGGTTGAACCTCTCTTTTGAAAGACCAGTTTTGAAATATGCTTTTTGTAGAATCTGCAAGTAGAATTTTCGAGAGCCATGAGGCCTATGGTGGAATAGGAAATATCTCCACATAAAAACTAGACAGAACTATTCTGAGAAACTTCTTTGGGATGTGTGCTTTCATCTCACAGAGTAAAACATTCTTTTGATCGAGCAGTTTTGTAAGTCTCTTTTTGTAGAATCTGCAAGTGGACATTTTGAGTCCTTTCAGGTCTATGGTGGAAAAGGAAATATCTACAAATTGAAACTTGACAGAAGAATTCTGAGAAACTCCTTTGTGATGCTTGCATTCATCTAACAGACTTGAACCTTTCTTTATGATTGAGCAGTTTGGAAACCCTCTTTTTGTAGAATCTGCTAGCGGATATCTGGAGCGTTTTGCAGCCTATGGTGGAAAAGGAAATATCTTCACATAAAAACTAAACAGATGTATTCTGAGAAACTTCTATGTGATGTGTGCATTCATCTCACAGAGTTGAACCTTTCTTTTGATTGAGCAGTTTGGAAACACTCTTTTTGTAGAGTCTGCAAGTGGACGTATGGAATGCTTTGAAGCCTATGGTAGAACAGGAAATATCTTCACATAAAATCTAGACAGAGGAATTCTGAGAGACTTCTTTGTGATGCGTGTACTCATCTTACAGAGTTAAACCTTCCTTTTGAATGAGCAGATTTGAAACTGTCTTTTTGTAGAATCTGCAAGTGGACATTTTGAGCGCCTTGAGGCCTATGGTGGAAAAGAAAATGCCTTCACATGAAAACTAGACAGAAGAATTCTGAGAAACTTCTTTCTGATGTGTGCGTTAATCTCACACAGTTAAACCTTTCTTTTGATTGAGCAGTTTCAAAACACTCTTTTTGTAGAATCTGCAAGTAGACATTTGGAGGGCTTTGTGGCCTACGGTAGAAAAGGAAATATCATCACATAAAATCTAGACAGAAGCAATCTGAGACTTCTTTGTGATGTGTGCATTCACCACACATTGTTTAACCTTTCCCTTGATTGAGCAGTTTTGAAACTCTTTTTGTAGAATCTACCAGTCTACATTTGGAGTGCTTTGAGGCCTATGGTGGAAAAGGAAATATCTTCACATAAAAACTAGTCAAAAGAATTCTGAGAAACTGCTTGGTGATGTGTGCGTTCACCACACAGAGCTGAACCATTGTTTTGATTGAGCAGTTTGGAAACCCTCTTTTTGTAGAATCTGCAAGTGGACAATTTGAGCACCTTGTGGCCTCTGGTGGAAAATGAAATATCTTTACATAAAAACTAGACTGAATAATTCTGGGAAACTTCTTTCTGATGTGTGCGTTCATCTCACAGAGTTAAACTTTTCATTTTATTGAGCAGTTTGGAAACACTCTTTTTGTAGAATCTGCAAGTGGACATTTGGAGCGCATTGTGGTATGCAGTAGAAAAGGAAATGTCTCCACAAAAAATGTAGACAGAAGCATTCTGAGAAACTTCTTTGTGATGTGTGCATTCATCTTACAGGGTTGAACCTCCCTTTTGATTGAGCACTTTGGAAGCACTCTTTTTGTAAAATCTGCAAGTGGACAATTGGAGTGCTTTGAGGCCTATGGTGGAAAAGGAAATATCTTCACTTAAAAACTAGACAGAAGCATTCTGACAAACTTCTTTGTGATGTGTGCATTCATCTCACAAAGAATTGAAACTTTCTTTGATTCAGGAGCTTTGAAACACTCTTTTTGTAGAATCTGCAAGTGTACATTTGGAGCGCTTTGAGGCCTATGGTGGAAAAGGGGACATCTTCACATATAGAACAGACAGAAGCATTCTGACAAACTTCTTTTTGATGTGTGCGTTCAACTCACAGATTTGAACCTTACTTTTCATTGAGCAGATATGAAACACTCCTTTTGTAGAATCTGCAAGTGGACAATTGGACCGCTTTGTGGCCTATGGTGGAAAAGGATATATCGTCACATAAAAACTAGACAGAAATCTTCTGACAAACTTCTTTGTTATGTGTGCATTCATCTTTCAGAGTTGAACCTTTCTTTTGATTGAGCAACTTTGAAACACTGTTTTTGTAGAATCTGCAAGTAGTCATTTGGAGCGCTTTGGGGCCTATGGCAAAAAAGGAAATATCTTCACATAAAAACTAGACAGAAGCATTCTGACAAACTTCTTTGTGATGTGTGCATTCATCTCACAGAGTTGAAACTTACTTTTCATTGAGCAATTTTGAAACACTCTTTTTGGAGAATCTGTAAGTGGACATTTTGAGGGCTTTGACGCACATGGTGGAAAAGGAAATACCTTCACATAAAAACGAGACAGAAGCATTCTGACAAACTTCTTTGTGATGTGTGCATTCATCTCACAGAGTTGAACCTTACTTTTCATTGAGCAATTTTGAAACACTCTTTTTGGAGAATCTGTAAGTGGACATTTTGAGGGCTTTGACGCACATGGTGGAAAAGGAAATACCTTCACATAAAAACGAGACAGAAGCATTCTGACAAACTACTTTGTAATGTGTGCATTCATCTCTCAGAGCTGGACCTTTCTTTTGGTTGAACAGCTTTGAAACACTCTTTTTGTAGAATCTGCAAGTGGACATTTGGAGCGCTTTGAGGCCTATGGTGGAAAAGGAAATATCTTCACAGAAAAACTAGACAGAAGAATTCTGAGAAACTTCTTGTTGATGTGTGTGTTCACCTCACAGAGTTGAACCGTTGTTTTGATTGAGCAGTTTGGAAACCCTCTTTTTGTAGAATCTGCATGTGGACATTTGGAGCGCTTTGAGGCCTATGGTGGAAAAGGAAGTATCTTCACATAAAAACTAGACAGAATTATTCTGAGAAACTTCTTTGTGATGTGTGAATTCATCTCACAAAGTTGAACCTTACTTTTCATTGAGCAATTTTGAAACACTCTTTTTGTAGAATCTGCAAGTGGACATTTGGAGCACTTTTAGATCTATGGTGGAAAAGGAAATATCTTCACATAAAAACTAGACAGAACTATTCTGAGAAACTTCTTTGGGATGTGTGCTTTCATCTCACAGAGTAAAACATTCTTTTGATCGAGCAGTTTTGTAAGTCTCTTTTTGTAGAATCTGCAAGTGGACATTTTGAGTCCTTTCAGGCCTATGGTGGAAAAGGAAATATCTACAAATTGAAACTCGACAGAAGAATTCTGAGAAACTCCTTTGTGATGCTTGCATTCATCTAACAGACTTGAACCTTTCTTTATGATTGAGCAGTTTGGAAACCCTCTTTTTGTAGAATCTGCTAGCGGATATCTGGAGCGTTTTGCAGCCTATGGTGGAAAAGGAAATATCTTCACATAAAAACTAAACAGATGTATTCTGAGAAACTTCTATGTGATGTGTGCATTCATCTCACAGAGTTGAACCTTTCTTTTGATTGAGCAGTTTGGAAACACTCTTTTTGTAGAGTCTGCAAGTGGACGTATGGAATGCTTTGAAGCCTATGGTAGAACAGGAAATATCTTCACATAAAATCTAGACAGAGGAATTCTGAGAGACTTCTTTGTGATGCGTGTACTCATCTTACAGAGTTAAACCTTCCTTTTGAATGAGCAGATTTGAAACTGTCTTTTTGTAGAATCTGCAAGTGGACATTTTGAGCGCCTTGAGGCCTATGGTGGAAAAGAAAATGCCTTCACATGAAAACTAGACAGAAGAATTCTGAGAAACTTCTTTCTGATGTGTGCGTTAATCTCACACAGTTAAACCTTTCTTTTGATTGAGCAGTTTCAAAACACTCTTTTTGTAGAATCTGCAAGTAGACATTTGGAGGGCTTTGTGGCCTACGGTAGAAAAGGAAATATCATCACATAAAATCTAGACAGAAGCAGTCTTATAAACTTCTTTGTGATGTGTGCATTCATGTCACAGATTTGAACCTATCTTTAGATTGAGCAGTTTGGAAACACTCTTTTTGTAGAATCTGCAAGTGCACATGTGGAGAGATTTGTGGCCAATGGTAGAGAAGCAAATATCTTCGCATAAACTCTAGACAGAAGCATTCTGAGAAACCTCTTTGTGATGTTTGTATTCATCTCCCAGAGCTGAACCTTTCTTTTGATGGACAGTTTTGAAATACTCTTTTTGTAGAATCTGCAAGTGGACAATTTGAGCACCTTGTGGCCTCTGGTGGAAAATGAAATATCTTTACATAAAAACTAGACTGAATAATTCTGGGAAACTTCTTTCTGATGTGTGCGTTCATCTCACAGAGTTAAACTTTTCATTTTATTGAGCAGTTTGGAAACACTCTTTTTGTAGAATCTGCAAGTGGACATTTGGAGCGCATTGTGGTATGCAGTAGAAAAGGAAATGTCTCCACAAAAAATGTAGACAGAAGCAGTCTTATAAACTTCTTTGTGATGTGTGCATTCATCTTACAGGGTTGAACCTCCCTTTTGATTGAGCACTTTGGAAGCACTCTTTTTGTAAAATCTGCAAGTGGACAATTGGAGTGCTTTGAGGCCTATGGTGGAAAAGGAAATATCTTCACTTAAAAACTAGACAGAAGCATTCTGACAAACTTCTCTGTGATGTGTGCATTCATCTCACAAAGAATTGAAACTTTCTTTGATTCAGGAGCTTTGAAACACTCTTTTTGTAGAATCTGCAAGTGTACATTTGGAGCGCTTTGAGGCCTATGGTGGAAAAGGGGACATCTTCACATATAGAACAGACAGAAGCATTCTGACAAACTTCTTTTCGATGTGTGCGTTCAACTCACAGATTTGAACCTTACTTTTCATTGAGCAGATATGAAACACTCCTTTTGTAGAATCTGCAAGTGGACAATTGGACCGCTTTGTGGCCTATGGTGGAAAAGGATATATCGTCACATAAAAACTAGACAGAAATCTTCTGACAAACTTCTTTGTTATGCATGCATTCATCTTTCAGAGTTGAACCTTCCTTTTGATTGAGCAACTTTGAAACACTCTTTTTGTAGAATCTGCAAGTAGTCATTTGTAGCGCTTTGGAGACTATGGCGAAAAAGGAAATATCTTCCCATAAAAACTAGACAAAGGCATTCTGACAAACTTCTTTGTGATGTGGGCATTCATCTCACAGAGTTGAACCTTACTTTTCATTGAGCTATTTTGAAACACTCTTTTTGGAGAATCTGTAAGTGGACTTTTTGAGGGCTTTGACGCACGTGGTGGAAAAGGAAATATCTTCATATAAAAACTAGACAGAAGCATTCTGACAACCTTCATTGTGATATGTGCATTCATCTCCCAGAGTTGAACCTTAGTTTTGATTGAGCAGTTTTGAAACACCCTTTTTGTAGTATCTGCAAGAGGACATTTCGAGTGCTTTGAGGCCTATGGTGGAAAAGGAAATACCCTCATATAAAAACGAGACAGAAGCATTCTCACAAACTGCTTTGTGATGTGTGCATTCATCTCACAAAGTTGAAACTTTCTTTTGATTGAGCAGCTTTGAAACACTCTTTGTAGAGTCTGCAAGTGGACATTTGGAGCACTTTGAGGCCTACAGTGGAAAAGGAAATACCTTCACATAAAAATTAGACAGAAGCATTTTGAAAAACTTCTTTGTGACGTTTGCATTCATCTCACTGACTTGAAACTTTCTTTTGATTGAGCGGTTTTGAAAAACTCTTTTTGTAGGATCTGCAAGTGGACATTTAGAGCGCTTTGAGGCCTATGGTGGAAAAGAAAATATCTTCACCTAAAAACCAGACAGAAGCATTCTGACAACCTTCATTGTGATATGTGCATTCATCTAAGAGAGTTGAACCTTACTTTTGATTCAGCAGTTTTGAAACTCTCTTTTTGTAGAATCTGCAAGTGGACATTCGGAGCACTTTTAGACCTATGGTGGAAAAGGAAATATCTTCACATAAAAACTAGACAGAACTATTCTGAGAAACTTCTTTGGGATGTGTGCTTTCATCTCACAGAGTAAAACATTCTTTTGATCGAGCAGTTTTGTAAGTCTCTTTTTGTAGAATCTGCAAGTGGACATTTTGAGTCCTTTCAGGCCTATGGTGGAAAAGGAAATATCTACAAATTGAAACTCGACAGAAGAATTCTGAGAAACTCCTTTGTGATGCTTGCATTCATGTAACAGAGTTGAACCTTTCTTTATGATTGATCAGTTTGGAAACCCTCTTTTTTAGAATCTGCCAGCGGATATTTGGAGCGTTTTGCAGCCTATGGTGGAAAAGGAAATATCTTCACATGAAAACTAAATAGATGTATTCTGAGAAACTTCTATGTGATGTGTGCGTTCATCTCACAGAGTTGAACCTTTCTTTTGATTGAGCAGTTTGGAAACACTCTTTTTGTAGAATCTGCAAGTGGACGTATGGAATGCTTTGAAGCCTATGGTAGAACAGGAAATATCTTCACATAAAATCTGAACAGAGGAATTCTGAGAGACTCCTTTGTGATGTTTGTATTCATCTTACAGAATTAAACCTTCCTTTTGAATGAGCAGATTTGAAACTGTCTTTTTGTAGAATCTGCAAGTGGACATTTTGAGCGCCTGGAGGCCTATGGTGGAAAAGAAAATGGCTTCACATGAAAACTAGACAGAAGCATTCTGACAGACTTCTTTGTGATTTGTGCATTCATCTCATAGAGTTGAACCTTACTTTTCATTGAGCAGCTTTGAAACACTCTTTTTGTAGAATGTGCAAGTGGACATTTGGAGCCCTTTGAGGCCTATGGTGGAAAAGGAAATATCTTCACATAAAAACTAGACAGAAGCAATCTGAGACTTCTTTGTGATGTGTGCATTCACCACACATTGTTTAACCTTTCCCTTGATTGAGCAGTTTTGAAACTCTTTTTGTAGAATCTACCAGTCTACATTTGGAGTGCTTTGAGGCCTATGGTGGAAAAGGAAATATCTTCACATAAAAACTAGTCAAAAGCAATTCTGAGAAACTGCTTGGTGATGTGTGCGTTCACCACACAGAGCTGAACCATTGTTTTGATTGAGCAGTTTGGAAACCCTCTTTTTGTAGAATCTGCAAGTGGACAATTTGAGCACCTTGTGGCCTCTGGTGGAAAATGAAATATCTTTACATAAAAACTAGACTGAATAATTCTGGGAAACTTCTTTCTGATGTGTGCGTTCATCTCACAGAGTTAAACTTTTCATTTTATTGAGCAGTTTGGAAACACTCTTTTTGTAGAATCTGCAAGTGGACATTTGGAGCGCATTGTGGTATGCAGTAGAAAAGGAAATGTCTCCACAAAAAATGTAGACAGAAGCAGTCTTATAAACTTCTTTGTGATGTGTGCATTCATGTCACAGATTTGAACCTATCTTTAGATTGAGCAGTTTGGAAACACTCTTTTTGTAGAATCTGCAAGTGCACATGTGGAGAGATTTGTGGCCAATGGTAGAGAAGCAAATATCTTCTCATAAACTCTAGACAGAAGCATTCTGACAAACTTCTTTGTGATGTGTGCATTCATCTCACAAAGAATTGAAACTTTCCTTGATTCAGGAGCTTTGAAACACTCTTTTTGTAGAATCTGCAAGTGTACATTTGGAGCACTTTGAGGCCTATGGTGGAAAAGGGAACATCTTCACATACAGAACAGACAGAAGCATTCTGACAAACTTCTTTTCGATGTGTGCGTTCAACTCACAGATTTGAACCTTACTTTTCATTGAGCAGATATGAAACACTCTTTTTGTAGAATCTGCAAGTGGACAATTGGACCGCTTTGTGGCCTATGGTGGAAAAGGATATATCGTCACATAAAAACTAGACAGAAATCTTCTGACAAACTTCTTTGTTATGCATGCATTCATCTTTCAGAGTTGAAACTTCCTTTTGATTGAGCAACTTTGAAACACTCTTTTTGTAGAATCTGCAAGTAGTCATTTGTAGCGCTTTGGGGACTATGGCGAAAAAGGAAATATCTTCACATAAAAACTAGACAGAAGCATTCTGACAAACTTCTTTGTGATGTGGGCATTCATCTCACAGAGTTGAACCTTACTTTTCATTGAGCAATTTTGAAACACTCTTTTTGGAGAATCTGTAAGTGGACATTTTGAGGGCTTTGACGCACATGGTGGAAAAGGAAATATCTTCATATATCTTCATATAAAAAACAGAAGCATTCTGACAACCTTCATTGTGATATGTGCATTCATCTCCCAGAGTTGAACCTTAGTTTTGATTGAGCAGTTTTGAAACACCCTTTTTGTAGTATCTGCAAGAGGACATTTCGAGTGCTTTGAGGCCTATGGTGGAAAAGGAAATACCCTCATATAAAAACGAGACAGAAGCATTCTGACAAACTACTTTGTGCTGTGTGCATTCATCTCACAGAGCTGGACCTTTCTTTTGATTGAGCAGCTTTGAAACACTCTTTTTGTAGAATCTGCAATTGGACATTTGGAGCACTTTGAGGTCTATGGTCGAAAAGCAAATATCTTCACAGAAAAACTAGACAGAAGTATTTTGAAAAACTTCATTGTGACGTTTGCATTCATCTCACTGATGTGAACCTTTCTTTTGATTGAGCAGTTTTGAAAAACTCTTTTTGTAGGATCTGCATGTGGACATTTGGATCGCTTTGAGGCCTATGGAGGAAAAGAAAATATCTTCACCTAAAAACCATACAGAAGTATTCTGAGAAACTTCTTTGTGATGTGTGCATTCATCTCACAGAGTTGAACCTTACTTTTCATTGAGCAATTTTGAAACACTCTTTTTGTAGAATCTGCAAGTGGACATTTGGAGCACTTTTAGACCTATGGTGGAAAAGGAAATATCTTCACATAAAAACTAGACAGAACTATTCTGAGAAACTTCTTTGGGATGTGTGCTTTCATCTCACAGAGTAAAACATTCTTTTGATCGAGCAGTTTTGTAAGTCTCTTTTTGTAGAATCTGCAAGTGGACATTTTGAGTCCTTTCAGGCCTATGGTGGAAAAGGAAATATCTACAAATTGAAACTCGACAGAAGAATTCTGAGAAACTCCTTTGTGATGCTTGCATTCATCTAACAGACTTGAACCTTTCTTTATGATTGAGCAGTTTGGAAACCCTCTTTTTGTAGAATCTGCTAGCGGATATCTGGAGCGTTTTGCAGCCTATGGTGGAAAAGGAAATATCTTCACATAAAAACTAAACAGATGTATTCTGAGAAACTTCTATGTGATGTGTGCATTCATCTCACAGAGTTGAACCTTTCTTTTGATTGAGCAGTTTGGAAACACTCTTTTTGTAGAGTCTGCAAGTGGACGTATGGAATGCTTTGAAGCCTATGGTAGAACAGGAAATATCTTCACATAAAATCTAGACAGAGGAATTCTGAGAGACTTCTTTGTGATGCGTGTACTCATCTTACAGAGTTAAACCTTCCTTTTGAATGAGCAGATTTGAAACTGTCTTTTTGTAGAATCTGCAAGTGGACATTTTGAGCGCCTTGAGGCCTATGGTGGAAAAGAAAATGCCTTCACATGAAAACTAGACAGAAGAATTCTGAGAAACTTCTTTCTGATGTGTGCGTTAATCTCACACAGTTAAACCTTTCTTTTGATTGAGCAGTTTCAAAACACTCTTTTTGTAGAATCTGCAAGTAGACATTTGGAGGGCTTTGTGGCCTACGGTAGAAAAGGAAATATCATCACATAAAATCTAGACAGAAGCAATCTGAGACTTCTTTGTGATGTGTGCATTCACCACACATTGTTTAACCTTTCCCTTGATTGAGCAGTTTTGAAACTCTTTTTGTAGAATCTACAAGTCTACATTTGGCGTGCTTTGAGGCCTATGGTGGAAAAGGAAATATCTTCACATAAAAACTAGTCAAAAGAATTCTGAGAAACTGCTTGGTGATGTGTGCGTTCACCACACAGAGCTGAACCATTGTTTTGATTGAGCAGTTTGGAAACCCTCTTTTTGTAGAATCTGCAAGTGGACAATTTGAGCAACTTGTGGCCTCTGGTGGAAAATGAAATATCTTTACATAAAAACTAGACTGAATAATTCTGGGAAACTTCTTTCTGATGTGTGCGTTCATCTCACAGAGTTAAACTTTTCATTTTATTGAACAGTTTGGAAACACTCTTTTTGTAGAATCTGCAAGTGGACATTTGGAGAGCATTGTGGTATGCAGTAGAAAAGGAAATGTCTCCACAAAAAATGTAGACAGAAGCATTCTGAGAAACTTCTTTGTGACGTGTGCATTCATCTCACAGAGTTGAACCTCCCTTTTGATTGAGCACTTTCGAAGCACTCTTTCTGTAAAATCTGCAAGTGGACAATTGGAGTGCTTTGAGGCCTATGGTGGAAAAGGAAATATCTTCACTTAAAAACTAGACAGAAGCATTCTGACAAACTTCTTTGTGATGTGTGCATTCATCTCACAAAGAATTGAAACTTTCCTTGATTCAGGAGCTTTGAAACACTCTTTTTGTAGAATCTGCAAGTGTACATTTGGAGCACTTTGAGGCCTATGGTGGAAAAGGGAACATCTTCACATACAGAACAGACAGAAGCATTCTGACAAACTTCTTTTCGATGTGTGCATTCAACTCACAGATTTGAACCTTACTTTTCATTGAGCAGATTTGAAACACTCTTTTTGTAGAATCTGCAAGTGGACAATTGGACCGCTTTGTGGCCTATGGTGGAAAAGGATATATCGTCACATAAAAACTAGACAGAAATCTTCTGACAAACTTCTTTGTTATGCATGCATTCATCTTTCAGAGTTGAACCTTCCTTTTGATTGAGCAACTTTGAAACACTCTTTTTGTAGAATCTGCAAGTAGTCATTTGTAGCGCTTTGGAGACTATGGCGAAAAAGGAAATATCTTCCCATAAAAACTAGACAGAAGCATTCTGACAAACTTCTTTGCGATGTGTGCATTCATCTCACAGAGTTGAACCTTACTTTTCATTGAGCAATTTTGAAACACTCTTTTTGGAGAATCTGTAAGTGGACATTTTGAGGGCTTTGACGCACATGGTGGAAAAGGAAATACCTTCACATAAAAACGAGACAGAAGCATTCTGACAAACTACTTTGTAATGTGTGCATTCATCTCTCAGAGCTGGACCTTTCTTTTGATTGAACAGCTTTGAAACACTCTTTTTGTAGAATCTGCAAGTGGACATTTGGAGCGCTTTGAGGCCTATGGTGGAAAAGGAAATATCTTCACAGAAAAACTAGACAGAAGCATTCTGACAAACTACTTTGTGCTGTGTGCATTCATCTCACAGAGCTGGACCTTTCTTTTGATTGAGCAGCTTTGAAACACTCTTTTTGTAGAATCTGCAATTGGACATTTGGAGCACTTTGAGGTCTATGGTCGAAAAGCAAATATCTTCACAGAAAAACTAGACAGAAGCATTTTGAAAAACTTCTTTGTGACGTTTGCATTCATCTCACTGACTTGAAACTTTCTTTTGATTGAGCTGTTTTGAAAAACTCTTTTTGTAGGATCTGCAAGTGGACATTTAGAGTGCTTTGAGGGCTATGGTGGAAAAGAAAATATCTTCACCTAAAAACCAGACAGAAGCATTATGTTAAACTTTTTGTGATGTCTGCATACATCTCACAAAGAGTTGAAACTTTCTTTTGATTGAGCAGCTTTGCAACATTCTTTTTGTGGAATCTGCAAGTGGACATTTGGAGTGCTTTGAGACCTATGGTGGATAACGAAATATGTTCACATAAAAATTGGACAGAAGCATTCTGAGAAACTTCTTTGTGATGTGTGCATTCATCTCACAGAGTTGAACCTCCCTTTTGATTGAGCACTTTGGAAGCACTCTTTCTGTAAAATCTGCAAGTGGACAATTGGAGTGCTTTGAGGCCTATGGTGGAAAAGGAAATATCTTCACATAAGAACTAGACAGAAGAATTCTGAGAAACTCCTTTGTGATGCTTGCATTTATCTAACAGAGTTGAACCTTTCTTTATGATTGAGCAGTTCGGAAACCCTCTTTTTGTAGAATCTGCTAGCGGATATTTGGAGCGTTTTGCAGCCTATGGTGGAAAAGGAAATATCTTCACATAAAAACTAAACAAATGTATTCTGATAAACTTCTATGTGATGTGTGCGTTCATCTCACAGAGTTGAACCTTTCTTTTGATTGAGCAGTTTGGAAACACTCTTTTCGTAGAATCTGCAAGTAGACGTATGGAATGCTTTGAAGCCTATGGTAGAACAGGAAATATCTTCACATAAAATCTAGACAGAGGAATTCTGAGAGACTTCTTTGTGATGCGTGTACTCATCTTACAGAGTTAAAGCTTCCTTTTGAATGAGCAGATTTGAAACTGTCTTTTTGTAGAATCTGCAAGTGGACATTTTGAGCGCCTTGAGGCCTATGGTGGAAAAGAAAATGCCTTCACATGAAAACTAGACAGAAGAATTCTGAGAAACTTCTTTCTGATGTGTGCGTTAATCTCACACAGTTGAACCTTTCTTTTGATTGAGCAGTTTCAAAACACTCTTTTTGTAGAATCTGCAAGTAGACATTTGGAGGGCTTTGTGGCCTACGGTAGAAAAGGAAATATCATCACATAAAATCTAGACAGAAGCAATCTGAGACTTCTTTGTGATGTGTGCATTCACCACACATTGTTTAACCTTTCCCTTGATTGAGCAGTTTTGAAACTCTTTTTGTAGAATCTACAAGTCTACATTTGGAGTGCTTTGAGGCCTATGGTGGAAAAGGAAATATCTTCACATAAAAACTAGTCAAAAGAATTCTGAGAAACTTCTTGGTGATGTGTGCGTTCACCTCACAGGGCTGAACCATTGTTTTGATTGAGCAGTTTGGAAACCCTCTTTTCGTAGAATATGCAAGTGGACATTTGGAGTACTTTGATGCCCCTGGTCGAAAAGGAAATATCTTAACTTAAAAACTAGACAGAATAATTCTGGGAAACTTCTTTCTGATGTGTGCGTTCATCTCACAGAGTTAAACTTTTCATTTTATTGAACAGTTTGGAAACACTCTTTTTGTAGAATCTGCAAGTGGACATTTGGAGCGCATTGTGGTATGCAGTAGAAAAGGAAATGTCTCCACAAAAAATGTAGACAGAAGCATTATGATAAACTTTTTGTGATGTCTGCATACATCTCACAAAGTGTTGAAACTTTCTTTTGATTGAGCAGCTTTGCAACATTCTTTTTGTAGAATCTGCAAGTGGACATTTGGAGTGCTTTGAGGCCTATGGTGGAAAACGAAATATCTTCACATAAAAATTGGACAGAACCATTCTGAGAAACTTCTTTGTGATGTGTGCATTCATCTTACAGGGTTGAACCTCCCTTTTGATTGAGCACTTTGGAAGCACTCTTTTTGTAAAATCTGCAAGTGGACAATTGGAGTGCTTTGAGGCCTATGGTGGAAAAGGAAATATCTTCACTTAAAAACTAGACAGAAGCATTCTGACAAACTTCTTTTCAATGTGTGCGTTCAACTCAAAGATTTGAACCTTACTTTTCATTGAGCAGATTTGAAACACTCTTTTTGTAGAATCTGCAAGTGGACAATTGGACCGCTTTCTGGCCTATGGTGGAAAAGGATGTATCGTCACATAAAAACTAGACAGAAATCTTCTGACAAACTTCTTTGTTATGCATGCATTCATCTTTCAGAGTTGAAACTTCCTTTTGATTGAGCAACTTTGAAACACTCTTTTTGTAGAATCTGCAAGTAGTCATTTGTAGCGCTTTGGGGACTATGGCGAAAAAGGAAATATCTTCACATAAAAACTAGACAGAAGCATTCTGACAAACTTCTTTGTGATGTGGGCATTCATCTCACAGAGTTGAACCTTACTTTTCATTGAGCAATTTTGAAACACTCTTTTTGGAGAATCTGTAAGTGGACATTTTGAGGGCTTTGACGCACATGGTGGAAAAGGAAATATCTTCATATATCTTCATATAAAAAACAGAAGCATTCTGACAACCTTCATTGTGATATGTGCATTCATCTCCCAGAGTTGAACCTTAGTTTTGATTGAGCAGTTTTGAAACACCCTTTTTGTAGTATCTGCAAGAGGACATTTAGAGTGCTTTGAGGCCTATGGTGGAAAAGGAAATACCCTCATATAAAAACGAGACAGAAGCATTCTGACAAACTACTTTGTAAAGTGTGCATTCATCTCTCAGAGCTGGACCTTTCTTTTGATTGAACAGCTTTGAAACACTCTTTTTGTAGAATCTGCAAGTGGACATTTGGAGCGCTTTGAGGCCTATGGTGGAAAAGGAAATATCTTCACAGAAAAACTAGACAGAAGCATTTTGAAAAACTTCTTTGTGACGTTTGCATTCATCTCACTGACTTGAAACTTTCTTTTGATTGAGCTGTTTCGAAAAACTCTTTTTGTAGGATCTGCAAGTGGACATTTAGAGCGCTTTGAGGCCTATGGTGGAAAAGAAAATATCTTCACCTAAAAACCAGACAGAAGCATTCTGAGAAATTTCTTTGTGATGTGTGCAATCATCTCACAGAGTTGAACCTTACTTTTGATTGTCCAGTTTTGAAACACTCTTTTTGTAGAATCTAAAAGTGGACATTTGGAGCGCTTTGAGGCCTATGGTGGATAATGAAATATCTTCATATAATAAATAGAGAGAACAATTCTGAGAAACTTCTTTGGGATGTGTGCATTCATCTCACAGAGTAAAACATTCTTTTGATCCAGCAGTTTTGTAAGTATCTTTTTGTAGAATCTGCAAGTGGACATTTTGAGCCCTTTCAGGCCTATGGTGGAAAAGGAAATATCTACAAATTGAAACTCGGCAGAAGAATTCTGAGAAACTCCTTTGTGATGCTTGCATTTATCTAACAGAGTTGAACCTTTCTTTATGATTGAGCAGTTCGGAAACCCTCTTTTTGTAGAATCTGCTAGCGGATATTTGGAGCGTTTTGCAGCCTATGGTGGAAAAGGAAATATCTTCACATAAAAACTAAGCAGATGTATTCTGATAAACTTCTATGTGATGTGTGCGTTCATCTCACAGAGTTGAACCTTTCTTTTGATTGAGCAGTTTGGAAACACTCTTTTCGTAGAATCTGCAAGTAGATGTATGGAATGCTTTGAAGCCTATGGTAGAACAGGAAATATCTTCACATAAAATCTAGACAGAGGAATTCTGAGAGACTCCTTTGTGATGTTTGTATTCATCTTACAGAATTAAACCTTCCTTTTGAATGAGCAGATTTGAAACTGTCTTTTTGTAGAATCTGCAAGTGGACATTTTGAGCGCCTGGAGGCCTATGGTGGAAAAGAAAATGGCTTCACATGAAAACTAGACAGAAGAATTCTGAGAAACTTCTTTCTTATGTGTGCGTTAATCTCACACAGTTGAACCTTTCTTTTGATTGAGCAGTTTCAAACACTCTTTTTGTAGAATCTGCAAGTGGACTTTTGGAGCACTTTGTGGCCTACGGTAGAAAAGGAAATATCATCACATAAAATCTAGACAGAAGCAATCTGAGACTTCTTTGTGATGTGTGCATTCACCACACATTGTTTAACCTTTCCCTTGATTGAGCAGTTTTGAAACTCTTTTTGTAGAATCTACAAGTCTACATTTGGAGTGCTTTGAGGCCTATGGTGGAAAAGGAAATATCTTCACATAAAAACTAGTCAAAAGAATTCTGAGAAACTGCTTGGTGATGTGTGCGTTCACCACACAGAGCTGAACCATTGTTTTGATTGAGCAGTTTGGAAACCCTCTTTTTGTAGAATCTGCAAGTGGACAATTTGAGCAACTTGTGGCCTCTGGTGGAAAATGAAATATCTTTACATAAAAACTAGACTGAATAATTCTGGGAAACTTCTTTCTGATGTGTGCGTTCATCTCACAGAGTTAAACTTTTCATTTTATTGAGCAGTTTGGAAACACTCTTTTTGTAGAATCTGCAAGTGGACATTTGGAGCGCATTGTGGTATGCAGTAGAAAAGGAAATGTCTCCACAAAAAATGTAGACAGA
>NC_000014.9:16400163-16404348 GCF_000001405.40 Homo sapiens
AGACACAGAGACAAATACTTCATGATCTCACTTACATGAGGAATCTACAACAGTCAAATTCATAAAACAGAGAATAGGACAGTGGTTGCCAGGGGCTCAGGGAGGGGAAATGGGGTGATGTTAATTAAACTGTGCAATGTTCAAGTTATAATAATTTCTGGAGATATAATGTACAACACGGAACAACACTGTATCATATTCTTGTGTTCTGCTAAAGGACTAGATCATAAATTAATTACTGTCAACACACACACAATGGTAAATATGTAGAGATAATATGCTAATTTGCTTGATTGTGGTGATCATTTCGAAAAGTATAGAAATATCAAAACATTAAGTTACCTTAAATTTATACAATTTGTATATGTCATGTTATCATCATAAAGCTGTTAAGAAAGATTTAGTGAATCATGTCAACTACCTGGGAACTTTCTCATGACAGGGAGGGCTGGAGTAGGAAAATGGAATTTTGCAACAAGGATAGGGTGAGGGACATGGGAAATGATTGATCAAGTATTTAAGAAATGACCTGGGTGGAAGCTACATCAAAGGGTATGAGCTTTAGCGCATCAGTCCTCAAACTTTTTGGTTTCAGGAACACTTTACATTTTTAAAAGTTATTGAGGACCCCAAAGAGCTTTTATTTATTTGGATTATATCTATCTATATTTATCATATTAAACATTAAAACTGAGAAATTAAAACAAATAAAATAATATATGTTTACATAAATCACATTTTTATTTAAAATTATCATTTTTAAGCAGTAAAGTTGGTGAGAACAGTGACATTGTTTTATATTTTTAGGTATGTCTTTAAAGTCTGATTTAATAGAAGAAAACTCGGTTCTCCTTTCTGCTTCTATGTTTAATTTCTTGTGACATCCCATGTCAAGTAGCCTCTGGGAAACTCAAATTATACTTGTGATAGAATGAAAGTGGAAAAGTTAAACAAAACCTGTGTCTTTTTATGAAAAGACTTTTGACCTTGCAGAGCCCCTGGAAGAGACTCAGAGACTTCTCAGGGTTCTCTGGCTCATGTGTTCACAGAGTAGACGGTAAGTCCGCAAGAGAAAGCAGTGATTGGCTGTGGGAGGACTTGCTGAGAGGTGGTAGAGAAGAGGTTGGATGTGTAGAAAGTATGCTCGTTATTTTCATTTCTTTTCCCTTTCCTTTGCCCTCTTGTTGCTGGGATTTCCTCTTTAGATGATCGTATCATAAATTAGAAATAGCATTAATGAACATTCTTGATACTGCCTAATGAAAGTTTCTGTTTTGTCTTCCTGAGTCTTGATACATTTCAAGAAGTCTTCTATCTCATTTATTGTTCCCACCGAAATTTGGAATTTAGGAAGAGTCGATATAGCTATATTTAGATGATTTATCTCCCTGAAGACATTTTGGGATCATTTATAAATCTCTATAAACAATGCTCTGATGTTCCTTTATTTTGTTTAGGGACTGGGTCTTGCCGTGTTGTCTGGAGTGGAGTGGCTCGAGCGTAGTTCACAATACACAATGCAATCAAACTCCTGGGCTCAAAGTGATCCTTCCACTCAGCCTCCACAGTAGCTAGGTCTGCAGGTGTGGGCCAGCACGCCTAGCTTTTGATTACTATTATTATTTTTGTAGAAATGAGGGTTTCATTATGCTGCCCAGGCTGGTCTTCCAACTCCTGGCCTCCAGCGATCCTCCTGCCTTCCGCCGTCTGAGGAGCTGAGATTACAGGTGTAAGCCACCATGCTGGTCCTGATGTCATTTAAATACAAACATGATACTGTATTCCTTGTAGAAAGTGCTACATAAATATAATTTTTTTGAAATAGGGTCTTGCTGTGTCACCCAGGCTGGAATGCAGTGGTATGATCACACTCACTGCAGCCTTGACCTGCTGGGCTTAAGTGATCCTCCCACCTCGGCCTTCCAAGTAGCTGGGACCTGAGGTATGAGCCAAGAAGCCCAGAGAATTTTTCAATTTTTGGTAAAGATCGGCGTGTCACTGTGTTGCCCAGGGTGGTCTTGAACTCTTGGGCTCAAGTTACCCTCTGCCCAGGTCTCCCAAAGTGCTGGGATTACAGGCCTGAACCACTGCACCGGGTCCTAAAAATTTATTCACTTTATTTGTTTGTGCACAAGGTGCTGCTGTTTCCCTTCTAATAACATGAGACAGCTCACTCAAGAACATCAAGAACACGACATTCTCTAAAAAAAATCATAATAGTTCCTTTTCCATAACTATTAAGTTTTCAAGATGTTATCAGGTTTATCTCATAGAAAGAATGTGTAAAATTTTTCATGTAGAAACATAATCTTTTAGCAATGAGTTAGTTAAAAAATTTGGCATTGTCAGAATGAAGATTTCCTTTTCCCTGTAATTTTATTTATTATAATTATATTTTTAGTGATATCAATTGCTTTATAAAAACTCATTGCATTATATACTCAATGACTGTGAAATCGTCTGCTTTGAAGCACAGTGAAGTCATCAATCAGCATACTGGGTCTAACACAGTTCCTTCCATTTTAAGAAAGCTATTTACACTCCAATTTGCAAGTTGGATTTTACAAAAATTAAAACATTTAGAAAATATACTAACTTTGATTGTTTTAAAAAGTAGTGGATTTTTATGGTAAGGAAACAAATTGAAGCTCTGTTTTGGAAAGTGCAGAAAACAAATCAGCATCTTTATAAATAGGTTTTACTGCTGGTTTAGAAATTACCTTATGTGCTTTATAGATGATGGAAAATGAAATCAGCTGCAGTTAGCAGTGTGCATGCATCGTACTAGTTGTGTCACTTTCAGAAAGATTATGGAATATTGGCAGGTCAGGATTCTCAAAATGATAAGTTCTAAGAAGAGGTTAAATGAAAAAGAATTTTAAAAGCAAGGCTAATTGTTTAATATATACATGGACGAGTTATGAGGAAATCCTGGACTGGGAGCTAGCAGATCTATGTTCTGACTTTTACTAAGTCATTGGCTGCTACAGCAGGCCAAGCAAACATAACTGCCAAGGCTGCCTGGGAGTTGGGTTGATTGGCAATTGGCACAGGGAGAGAGGACAATTGCCAGAATAATGGCCAAATAGTCAGGGTTTCATGTTGAGTGAAGCAGGACGTGCATTTGTATCCCAAGGGCAAAACTGACGCTAGAATCTGGGCCTCCTGGCTGAATCTGAGTCCACAGTCTGATGAGTAGGATGAAGTAGTCTCAGAAATCCAAGCCAGCCAGAACCCATGAGGTGTGCTCTGCAGATATTGGCTGGCAAGCTGCATTAAGATGTTTCATTCCATTGAGCAAACATTTCCTTGATTGGTTAGGTTAGCATCCCACAAGAGCAGAGACAAATTCTTCAGAATTTGTCCATGAAGCTATAGTCCCAGAGCTTATATTTCAAGGGAGGAGGGAGGAAACAACATCTCAGGATGGTAGGTGATTACAGCTAAACCGAATTCTGAAAATAAAAGGAACCCTATGTCTTTGTCTGCTCAGGCTGCTTCTACAAACAACTGTAGACTGAGTGGTTTAAACAGCACATACTTGTTTCTCACAGCTGTGGGAATTCAAAGATTAAAATCTGGGCCAGCAGAGCCAGTGTCTTGTGAAGGCCCTCTTATTGGTTTGCAGGTGTTCTTGTTGTATCTTCACATGGCTGAGTGAAGAAGGCTCTAGTCTTCTACTCTTCTTATTAGGATGCTAACCCCATTGTGGGAACTCCATCCTCATCAAAACCAAATTACTTCCCAAAGGTCCTCCTTCTAATGCCATTCTATTGTTAGAGTTTCAACATGTGCATTTGTTGATGCAAACATGCAGTGCACAGCATCTTATCTAATCAAGTCAGTTGTCCCTTGAATAAAATTCTAGCTCCTATAACAAGACTTCAAATTATGACTTGGTTGTTGCCAAAACTATCTATCTGGATTTGCTAGAAATCAAACATACTTGAATATTTCCTCTAAAGGTTTTCTCATTCCTACCCTATTGTGTATATTTACAGAATTCTTAAATAATTACATACTCAAGGCTTCTATTAGCTCTGACGAGAGCTTCTATTAGCTTTGACTATTGCAAGCAGCTTTATAGCACTGTAGGTAAAAACATGTGCTTTGAAATCATACAATAAATTTATTGAATGCTAAGCACTTTATAACCACTATTTAATGTTATCATCTTAATAACCT
>NC_000014.9:17538759-17539099 GCF_000001405.40 Homo sapiens
ATAATTCTCAGTAACTTCCTTGTGTTGTGTGTATTCAACTCACAGAGTTGAAGGATCCTTTACAGAGAGCAGGCTTGAAACACTCTTTTTGTCGAATTTGCAAGTGGAGATTTCAGCCGCTTTGAGGTCAAAGGTAGAATAGGAAATATCTTCTTATAGAAACTAGACACAATGATTCTCAGAAAATCTTTTGTGATGTGTGCGTTCAACTCACAGAGTTTAACTTTTCTTCTCATAGAGCAGTTAGGAAACACTCTGTTTGTAAAGTCTGCAAGTGGATATTCAGACCTCTTTGAGGCCTTCGTTGGAAACGGGATTTCTTCATATTATGCTAGACAGA
>NC_000014.9:17539199-17539539 GCF_000001405.40 Homo sapiens
ATCATTCTCAGAAACTGCTCTGCGATGTGTGCGTTCAACTCTCAGAGTTTAACTTTTCTTTTCATTCAGCAGTTTGGAAACACTCTGTTTGTAAAGTCTGCACGTGGATATTTTGACCACTTAGAGGCCTTCGTTGGAAACGGGTTTTTTTCCTGTAAGGCTAGACAGAAGAATTCCCAGTAACTTCCTTGTGTTGTGTGTGTTCAACTCACAGAGTTGAACTTTCATTTACACAGAGCAGATTTGAAACACTCTTTTTGTGGAATTTGCAAGTGGAGATTTCAAGCGCTTTGAGGCCAAAGGCAGAAAAGGAAATATCTTCGTTTCAAAACTAGACAGA
>NC_000014.9:17539639-17540837 GCF_000001405.40 Homo sapiens
AATATTCTGGGAAAGTTCTTTGTGGTGCGTGCATTCATGTCATAGAGTTGAAACTTTCTTTTGATGGAGCAGTTTTGAAACACTCTTTTTGTACAATCTGCTAGTGGATAATTGGAGCCCTTTGAGGACTATTGTGGAAAAGGAAATATCTTCACGTAAAAACTACATAGAACCATTCTGAGATACTTCTTTTTGATGTTTGCATTCATCTCACAGTGTTGAAACTTTCTTTTGATTGAGCAGTTTTGAAACACTCTTTTTGTAGAATCTGCAAGTGAATAATTGGAGCCCTTTGAGGGCTATGGTAGAAAAGGAAATATCTTCAAATAAGAACTACAAAGAAACATTCTCAGAAACTTATTTGTGATGTGTGCATTCAACTCACAGGGCTGAACATATCTTTTGATTTAGCAGTTTTGAATTTCTCTTTTTGCAGAATCTGCAAGGGGATGTTTGGAGAGCTTTCAGGCATATTGTGGAAAGGGAAATATTTTCACATAAAAACTACACAGAACCATTCTGAGAAACTTCTTTGTGTCGTGTGCATTCAACTCACAGAGTTGAACATATGTCCTCTTTGAGCAGTTTTGCGTCTCTCTTTTTGTAGAATGTACAAGTGGATATTTGGAGCCCATTGTGTCCTATGGTGGAAAAGGAAATATCTTCAGATAAAAATTACACAGAAGCATTCTGATAAACTTCTTTGTGATGTATGCATTCAACTCACAGACTTGAACCTATCTTAAGAATGAGCAGTTTTGAATCTCTCTTTTTGCAGAATCTGCAACTGGATATTTTGAGGGCCTTAAGGCCTACCGTGGAAAAGCAATTATCTTCAGATTAAAACTACACAGAAGCATTCAGAGAAACATCTTTGTGATGTTTGCATTCATCTCACAGAGTTAAAACTTTCTCTTGATGGAGCAGTTTTGAAACACTCTTTTTGTAGAATCTGCAAGTGGATATTTGGAGCCCTTTGAGGCCTGTTGTGGAAAAGGAAATATCTTCCCATGAAAACTACATAGAAGTATTCTGAGAAACTTCTTTGCAATGTGTGCATTCAACTCACAAGAGTTGAACCTATCTTTTGATTGAGGATTTTTGAATCTTTCTTTTTGCAGAATCTGCAAGTGTATGTTTGCAAAGCTTTGTGGCCTATTGTGGAAAAGGAAATGTCTTCACATAAAAACTACACATA